>NC_000012.12:111248006-111399521 GCF_000001405.40 Homo sapiens | reverse complement strand
GCCACCGTGTCTTAAGGACACCCAAGTAGCTTTATGGAGGTCCGTGTGAAGAGGAACTGAGGCTTCCTGCCACCAGCCAGCAAGGAACAGAGACCTCCTGGCAACAGCCAGGACTGAAACCATCACTTCCAACTATCCTGGAAGTGAATCATCCAGCCCCAGTTGGACCCCAGATGAGAACAGTCCTAACCCATTTTTGTTTGTTTGTTTATTTAAAAGACGGGGTCTTGTTTCATTGCCCAGACTGGAATGCAATGGCTATTCACAGGCACGATCATATAGCACGATCTATAGCCTTGAACTTCTAGGCTCAAACAATCCTCCTGTCTCGGCCTCTCAAATAGCTGCAACTGCATGTGCGTGCCACCAGCCCATGTTTCGGACTACCATCTCAGGAGTGAGAGACCCTGAACTACAAGCTAAGTCAGATTGCATGTGAATTCCTAAAACCATATGAGATAATAAAGGTTTGCTGTTTTAAGCCAGTAAATGCAGGAGTAATTTGTTACCCAGCAATCAATAATTAACACAGAGCTCAAGAAACCTTGGGGGGGTGAGGTCCAACCAACCCTTTTCCCACCCATTAGGGTCCAACAGAGACCAAGAGGGCTCAGGAAATGGTCCCCCTTGGTCAATACACATCTGCCCCAGGCCAGAAAATAATTACATTACTGGGTTCTTCCCTTTTTGCCTGGGTGGGCAGAACTCCCAAGGCCGATTCCTGGGCTCAGGGTCTGATCTGCTGAGCTCAAGTGCCTGATGTCATCTCTCCCTGTGCTTCCTTCCCTTGGATTCAGTTCTGTTTTCTGTCCTCCCAGTGCCTTAGAAGCTAAAATTGCCACAAGTCCTTCCCTAAGAAAAGCATGAACAGTATTTACAATCTGGACTCCATTTATGGAAGCGTGCGCCACACTGAGAACATCACAGGCCTTATCTCTTCCACCCCAAATGAACGGTTTGCTATTCATTTTCCCATTTGTCAGATGAAGGAACTGAGGCACAGGGCAGTGAAGTGACATGTCCATGTCACACGACTGGCAATGAAGCAGCTGGTGTGGACTAAAGACTGGCCTCACTGTAGTGCCCTACCTCTTAATCACTTACTGAGCCCAAGTGATAAAAAATGGTAATAATAACAGAATTAATGATTCTGAATTAATGGTTAATGATTTTTTTTTTTTAGATGGAGTTTCACTCTGTCACCCAGGCTGGAGTGCAATGTCTCGATCTCGGCTCACTGCAACCTCCACCTCCTGGGTTCAAGCGATTCTCCTGCCTCAGCCTCCTGAGTAGCTGGGATTACAGGTATGCACCACTACGCCCAGCTAATTTTTGTATTTTTAGTAGAGACGGGGTTTCTCTATGTTGGTCAGGCTGGTCTCGAACTCCTGACCTCATGATCTGCCTGCCTCAGCCTCCCAAAGTGCTGGGATTATAGGCATCAGCCACCACACCCGGCCCAATGATTAATGATTAATTAATGTTCTTTTTTGTCCTTTTTTTTTGGGGGGGGGTTGGGGGAGGGAGTCTTGCTCTGTCACCAAGGCTGGAGTGCAATGACTCGATCTTGGCTCACTGCAACCTCTGCCTCCCGGGTTCAAACGATTCTCGTGCCTCAGCCTCCCAAGTAGCTGGGATTACAGGCATGAGCCACCACGGTTGGCTAATTTTTTGTATTTTTAGTAGAGATGGGGTTTCCCCATGTTGCCCAGGCTCGTCTCAAACTCCTGACCTCAAGTGATCCGCCCGCCTCGGCCTCCCAAAGTGCTGGGATTATAAACGTGAGGCACCTCGCCCGGCCTAATTAATAATTCTGAGTGATTAATGAATTATTAGAGGATTATGTGCCAGGGACTACTCTGAGGGCTTAGTTTAGGTAGATTACAATTTACTTTGCCCAACAACTGTAAGGAGAGAATGTTGTTTTCCCCCATTTGACAGAAAGGAAACTGAGGCACGAAAGGTGAAGTGACTTCCCCAATTCACGTGGCTGGTAAGTGGCCCAGCAGCGATTTACACCCAGGCTCCCCAGTTCTGATCTTGACCAAAAACAGCGGCGGCCGCGCACCCCAACCCCAGACCCCCGCTTCCACCTTCCCCCGCCCCAACCTCAGCCTGCGAGCCGCCCCCTCTTCCGCTAGCCTGGGGAATCTGGTTTCTGGGGGAAGTGACTCAGTAGCCTGAGGCCCAGTAGATAATTATTCACTTCCAATCCCGGTAATTAGAGTCCCTAATAGCTCCGCAGAGGACGTACAACCCAGTTACCCCAGCCGTCCCCACCCGTGACCCGGGATCAACGTGGGGCACGCGAGCTCCTGGGGCCGGGACTTGGCCGCAGTCCCAGGCATCAGGCCCTGAGGGTGGTAACGCGCGGTGGCAGCCACTTGGTGGCAGCCGCTTTGCGCGGGGCTCTGGCGCCCCCTGGTGGCTGTGGGGCGATCGAGGGCTGGGAAGCGGCCTCCTAAACTCCCCTGCCTCACTCTTTCTCCCGCAAAGAACCTTCCTCTTGGATTCCCCCCAAGCCTTCCTGGAAGCTTCCCAGGCTCCAGGTTGGATGCCTCTCAGCCACCATCGAGTAGCCATCAACGTTGAGTACACGGGTTTGGGGACAGCTTAATGGCTAGCTTCTCCCTTCAGTGCTGGGTCACCTTGGGCAAATGACTTGGGCTCTCTGAGCTTCAGTTTCCGCATCTGTAAAATGGGAACAAAGAATGAGGACACCAGTGGGGCGTGGTGGCTCACGTCTGTAATCCCACCACTTTGGGAGGCCGAGGTGGGAGGACTGCTTGAGACCAGGAGTTCGAGAGCAGCCTGGCCAACAGGGTGAAACCCTGTCTCTACTAAAAATACAAAAATTAGCCTGGCGCGGTGGTGCATGCCTGTAATCCCAGCTACTTGGAAGGCTGAGACAGGAGAATTGCTTGAACCTGGGAGGGACAAGTTGTAGTGAGCCGAGATAGTGCCACTACTCCAGCCTGGGTGATAGCGTGAGACTGTCTCAAAATATATAAATAAATAAACAAATAATGCTGACTATTACTAGCTAAACCTGTTCTCAGGTCTTTCTTTTACAATGAGGAGTGGATTACTAAGAACAGCTTAATCCTACCCGCCTCATTTAATCTACATTAAAAGAAGCATCAAGGCCAGGTGCAGTGGCTCACGCCTGTAATCCCAGAACTTTGGGAGGCCAAGGTGGGTGGATCACCTGAGGTCAGGAGTTCGAGACCAGCCTGGGCAACATGGCAAAACTCTGTCTCTACTAAAAATACAAAAATTAACCAGGCGTAGTGGTGCATGCCTGTAATCCCAGCTACTTGGGAGGCTGAGGCAGGAGAATCGCTTAAACCAGGGAGGTGGAAGTTGCAGTGAGCTGAGATCATGCCATTGCACTCCAGCTTGGGCAGCACAGCGAGACTCCATCTCAAAAAAAAAAAAAAGCATCAAAATGTTAGCTAAAGCCAGGTGAGATGGCTCATGCCTGTAATCCCTGCACTTTGGGAGGCTGAAGTGGGAGGATCACTTGAGCTCAGGAGTCGGAGGCCAAGCTGGGCAACATAGTGAGACCCCCATCTCTAAACAAACAAAAATGTTAGCTAAAGTACAGAGGCAAAAGAATTGAAAACAGGCACTCAGACAGATACTTGTACATGAATGTTCATAGCAGTGCCATTCACAATAGGCAAAAGATAGAAACAACTCATGTGCCCACCAGGGGATGAATGAATCAAGACAATGCTATCTATACAATGGAATATTACACAGCCATAAAAAGGACCGAAGCATTGATATATGCTACAATGTGGATGAAACTTGGAAGCATCATGCTAAGTGAAATAAGCCAGTCATAAACGGACAAATATTGTGTGATTCTGCTTATGTAAAGTATATAGAATAGGTAAACCCCTAGAGACAGAAAGTAGACCAGTGGTTGCCATGGGCTATGGGCAGCGGGAATAGGAAGTAACTTCTAATGAGTATGGGGTTTCCTTTAGGGGTGATGAAATGTTCTGGATCTAGACTGAGATAAATGATGGTGGCACAACACTGTGAATGTACTAAATTTAGTTACTTCATGAGGCCGGGTGCGGTAGCTCAAACCTGTAATTCCAGCATTTGGGGAGGCCAAGGTGGGAGGACTACTTGAGCCCTGGAGTTAAGAGACCAGCCTAAGCAACATAGTGAGACTCATATCTCTACAAAATAAAATAATAATAATAATAATAATAATAATAATAATATTCGGGCAAGGTAGAATGCGCCTGTAGTCTCAGCTACTCAGGAGGCGCTGTGGTGGGAGGATCACTTGAGTCCAGGAGTTTGAGGCTGCAGTGAGCGGTGATCCTGCCCCTGCACTCCAGCCTGGGTGACACAGCAAGATTCTGTCTCTAAGTAAATGAATAAATTTAGTTAATTCACTAACTAAAATTAATTAATTCATTTTGTTATGTGACTTTCACCTTAAATTTTTTAATGTGGAAAAAGGTGTTAGGATGCACCCTGCCCTCTCTATTCCTTCAGCCCTATCCCCCCACCCCACCCCCATCCTCCATCTCCCATCCTGTTGCCCAGGTGATCTTGACCTCAAGATGCAGATGTGCGGCAGAGGCTGGGAAGTTCTTCTCCCACACCCCCAGAACCTGGCAGAGGCTGGGGCTGCTCCCACAGAGGAGGTGACATATGTACGGGCCACTTCTCGCCTGCAAATCAGCCAGGGTGGCTTCCTGGTTCTAGATCACCAACTTGAGGCCTCCTGAGCCCCTTGCCAGCCCAAGGGGACTTGGGCAGGGCCTGAGGCTGCAGAAAGGCATGGGGGTGCCCGCCCCTGGAGCTTGTCCACCTGTGCCCTCTGCACTGGAGGAGGCAGCAAGCAGGGCCTCTCTGGGGTGTAAGATGTCAAGATGCTCAGAGAGGGGCAGAAGGTGTCAGAGGGCACTGGGTGTGGTGGCTCACGTCTGTAGTCCCAGCACTTTGGGAGGCCAAGGCGGGCAGATCGCTTGAACTCACGAGTTTGAGACTAGCCTGGGCGACATGATGAAACCCCCATCTCTCTCTCTCTCTCTCTCTCTCTCTCTCTCCCCATATATATATATATATATATATATATATACACACACATATATGAAAAGAGGGTGCCAGAGAGGGAGGCAGGAGTTGAGGTCATGGCCGGAAGGGCCCCGAGCCAGGAGAGTGCCCCAAGCCAGCAAGCAGGGTGCAAGGTGCAAGGAGCTGCACTTTCCTCTGCCCTCTGTGGGGTTCTCAGGCCTATCAGACCAGACCATCAGTCACCCAGATGGAAAGGGATTATCTTCAGAGCCTCAGGCACCTGAGTTACTTCCTTTCAGAACTCAGACAGGGGTGGGCTTGAGCTTATTCTTGGGTCAAGAGCAGGACACTGGGGCCAGCTGCCTGGGTGCGCCTCAGGGCTCTGCCACATAGACCTGCTGTGTGACCTTGGGGGAAGTCACTTCATGTCTCTGAGGCAACTGGGGCCACAGGGCCATAGAAAGGAGGAGAGGAGAGAGGGGAGTATTTGGCAACACTGTTAGAAGCAGAAGTAGAAAGCGGAGGGTGGGGCTGGAGGGTGGGGAGCGCAGCTGACCCTGCGTTTCCCTGCTGGAAGCCACTCACCGTGAGGCCGAAGTCGAAGTGGACATGGGCTGTGGCTGCCTGACTTCCCCTTGTGCTGGTAGAAGCACCTGATTTTCCATCCAGTCGGAGTTCAAGATGTTCTCTGGGGCTAACCCTCCCTCCCATGCCCCAGTGACTGGTTCAAGGGTGGGCAGGGCCAATGAGCCTCAATTCCAGTCTTTAACAGCACAGTCGGATAAGAAAATACCTCATTTGGGCTGGGCACGGCGGCTCAATGCCTGTAATCTTAGCACTTTGGGAGGTCAAGGCAGGCGGATCACTTGAGGTCAGGAGTTCGAGACCAGCCTGGCCAACATGGTGAAACCCCATTTCTACTAAAAAGTACAAAAATTAGCTGGGCGTGGTGGCACGCCTGTAATCCCAGCTACTCGGGAGGCTGAGTCAGCAGAATCGCTTGAACCTGGGAGACAGAGGTTGCAGTGAGCCGAAATCGTGTCACTGCACTCCAGAGGACATGAGCTTGGAATTTCTGAGGGCTGTCTTGCCTGGGAGTGAACACACTCATAGTAGAGCAAAGCCCAGAGACAGAGAAAAACCATCTTGATGACAATGTCTGTGCACCTAGATCCAGCCATACCTGAAAGCAGTCACTCTTGGACTTCTCAGCTCTGTAAGTCAGTCATTTCTTTTTGGCTGAAGCCTGTTTGTGTGCAGCTTTTAGCCACTTGGCAATGGCCAGAGAACAGCACTGGGTCCTCCTAGCAATCATAACACCCAAATGTGCTTTGTGGGCTCCTCATACCTGAAACAGGAGACTGGGATGGTCCTGTTTGCATCTATTGGGTTGACTGGAATGGCCCTGGGGTTGGACGTTTGCAGCACCAGGCAGCAGAGGAAGGCTGAGAGGAGTTAGGGCCCCATAAGGTCAAGAGAATACACTGCCCCTCAACTTGAGATTTGTTGAGCCCCTACTATGTGCTAGGACTTCTCCAGGCACTGGGGATACAGTGGGGAACACAGCAGACATGGTGTTTGTTCTCATGGTAGACAGGCAGTTGGAAAGTGAATCCTTAAATACAAAGTGACAAGTTAAATACCCTTAAATACAGAGTGACAAGTTCATGGGCCATGAAGCTCACTGAATTCTTCTAACAACCCTTATCATCTCCATTTTCCAGATGAGGAAACTGAGGCTCACAGAGGTGAAGTGACTTGCCCAAGGTTGCACAGCTACTCAGATTCTAAGCTCGGGTTTACTTGCTCGCTGTGTGACTTCAGGCAAGCCGCGTCACCTCTCTGTTTGGTTTCTTTATGTTTAAAATAGAGATAGTAAAGTCTTTCCTAATTATCAGTGTCATGGTAAGAAGCAAAACCCTCAAGTGCTCGGTAAACATTAGCTATTATTTTTATTTTATTTTATGTTTCTGAGCTGGAGACTTGCTCTGTCGCCCAGGCTGGAGTACAGTGGCACAATCTCAGCTTGCTGCAAACTCTGCCTCCTGGGTTCAAGCCATTCTCCTGCCTCAGCCTCCCAAGTAGCTGGGATTACAGGCACACCACCACGCCAGCTATTTTTTGTATTTTTAGTAGAGACAGGATTTTGCCATGTTGGCCAGGCTGGTCTTGAACTCCTGACCTCAGGTGATCCACCCGCTTCAGCCTCCCAAAGTGCTGGGATTACAGGCGTGAGTCACCGCGCCCAGTCTGTTTCCCCTGTTTTACAGATGAGGAGGCCAAGGCACAGAGAGGTAAAGTGACTTGCTGAAGGACACACAGTTTGCAAATGGCAGAGTGGGGATTAGAACCCACTCATGCATATTAAACCCATTAATTTCCAGCCTAATGCATGGTTACAAGTTGCTTTTTACTATTTTTAAAAATTTTGGCTGGGCGTGGTGGCTCACGCCTGTAATCCCAGCACTTTGGGGGCCCGAGGCGGGTGGATCACGAGGTCAGGAGATCGAGACCATCTTGGCTAACACGGTGAAACCCCGTCTCTACTAAAAATACAAAAAATTAGCCAGGCGTGGTGGCGGGCGCCTGTAGTCCCGGCTACTCAGGAGGCTCAGGCAGGAGAATGGCGTGAACCAGGGAGGCGGAGTTTGCAGTGAGCCGAGATCGCGCCACTGCACTCCAGCCTGGGCGAAAGAGTGAGACTCCGCCTCAAAAAAAAAAAAATTTTTTTTAAGAGACAGTCTCGCTGTGTTGCCCAGGCTGCAGCGCAGTGGCTATTCACAGGCACGATCATAGCGCACTACAGCCTTGAACTCCTGGCCTCAAGCGATCCTCCCGCCTCAGCCTCCCGAGTAGATGGGACTGCAGGTGCGGACCACCACGCCCAGCACAAGTTGCTTTATGAGTCTGGGGCTTCACCGGCAAATGAAAGACCTCCTCTGCTCTTCTGCAATCCTGGATGCGACTCAGGAACCATGCCTGCCAGCCTCACCTCCCTTCAGCTCCTGACCCTGAAGAGCCAGAAGGAAAATAAATCCCACGAAATCTATCTACAGAAGGCAGCCATTCTGGGTTTCTGGGCGGGAGTTGGTTGGTTGTGGGTTTTGCTAAAGCAGTACTTGGATAGGATTTTTTGGATTTGAAGTGGAGAGTGCTAGGTGGTTAGGAATACCAGCTTTGTGGGCATGGTGGCGCATGCCTGTAGTCCCAGCTACTCGGGAGGCTGAGGCGGGAGAATTTCTTGCCAAGATCGCGCCATTGCACTCCAGCCTAGGCAACAAGAGCAAAATTCTGTCTAAAAAAAAAAAAAAAAAAAGGAACACCAGCTTTGGTGACCAGTAGGCTAGCACCCGCTCTGCCTCTTCCTGTGAGAACACTGGTGCCTCACTCACCATCTCGGAGCTTTGGGTTGAGGATTCACAGTGAGGCACCATGTCAAATAAACACAGCCCCGGCCCCAGGCAATACCTCTTCGTTGCTTTGAGCAGGTGAAATTTAGAAATTGAAATTGCCCCTTGGGAGAAAATGTCCAGGAATTTGGGTGTCTGTGGCAGGGGTCTGGGGGGAAATGAGAGGCTCCCTTAAAGGAGGGACAAAAGGATAAAGGGAGAAGTTGCCAATGCCAGCTTTTTTTGTTTGTTTGTTTGAGGCAGGGTCTTGCTCTGTCGCCCAGCCTGGAATGCAGTGGCGTGATCACTCACCGCAGCCTCGACCTTCCAGGCTTGAGTGATCTTCCTGCCTCAGTCCCCCAAGTAACTGGGAGTACAGGTGAATGCCACCACGGCCAGCTAATTTTTATTTTTATTTTTTGTAGAGAGGGAGTCTTGCTATATTGCCCTGGCTAGTCTTGAATTCCTGGCCTGAAGCATTCCTCCCGCCTCAGCCTCCCAAACTGCTGGGATTACAGGTGAGAGCCACCATGTCTCATGTGCCACCTTTTAAAGCAGGACTCATAAATCCTGCACTTGCCAGGTGTGGTGGCTCACACCTGTAATCCCAGCACTTTGGGAGGCCGAGGTGGGCAGATTGCCTGAGCTCAGGAGTTTGAGACCAACTTGGGCAATATGGCGAAACCTTGTCTCTACTAAAAATACAAAAAAAATTAGTCAGGCTATGTGGTGCACACCTGTAATCCCAGCTACTCGGGAGGCTGAGGCATGAGAATCACTTGAACCCGGGAGGAAGAGGTTGCAGTGAGCTGAGATCATGCCACGGCACTTCAGCTTGGTGACAGAGTGAGACTCTGTCTCAAAAAAATAAAAAAATAAAAAAAAATTAAAACAACAACAACAACAAAAACCCCTGCACTTGAGGCAGGGGATGAGCCGGCAGGACCTTCCAGGTCTTTGGGACTTCAGCAAAATTCACTCACACACAGCAACCCAGCCCTTGGCTGGTGTCTCCTTTTTCCCATGTATATACCAGGGGAAGGGGACCCTTGAAGTGGAGGGACTCTGGCCCTCACTATCGCTCCCCCTTCCTCCATGTCCTGCCCAGTGTGGAGCCAGGCCAGCGTGTTTGTGGTGGAGGATGATTTCGGTTCCCTCTTGTGGGTGGCTGGCTCAGCCCACTTCTTGGGTGGGGTGGCCATGGTGGAAGGAAGCTCCGCCTCAGATCCCACCTGGACCACCATCTGCCCCTGCTGGTGGCTAGGTGAAGAGGGGCATCACTGCCATCAGTCCAGAGACTGAGATCTGGATGCCAAACAGCGGGGCCAGGGGACACCAGGTCAGCCACTGACTCATATCCTCGTCACCAAGCACCTGCTATGTCCTGGGCACTGCCAGGTGCTGAGACACAGCGGTGAACAAGGCAGACCAAACCCCCTGCCTTCCTGGACCTGCCTTCCAATGTGGGGAGAAGCCCGCCAAGGGTACATCCATAGTTATCAAGCCCAGATACGTGACCTGCAATTGGCTTCTCCTGGTTTTTCTCCTATGTCACTGGCTGTATCTTCTCATTTCCTTTGTGGGTCCTGCCACATCTTCCCAACCTCCTGAGAAAAGCCCACAGGCCTCCATGATGTCATCTCTCCTCTCCCCTCCTCTCTGCTGCAGCCACATGGCCTCCTGCCTGCGGGCCTCTGCATGTGCTGTTCCCTCTGCCAACAACGCTGTTCCCTGGCCATCTGCATGGTTTGTGCCCTTATTTCCTTCAGGTCTTTGCTCAAAGGCTGCCTTCTCAAGGAGGCCTTCCTCGGTCCCCTCCTAGTAAAATGACAAGCCCTGCAACCCATCCTCATGAACAATTCATATCCTCTTGCCCTGCTTATTTTTCTCCTGGGCTCTTAACTTCAATTCATGGACTGTACGAATGTTATTTACTTATTTTCCCCTCTGGTCAGGAAGGGCAGGGGCACTTGTCTTGTCTGTCTTTAAAAAAATAATAAGTTAAATGAGGTGAAGTTCCTATAACATAAAACTATTTTTTTTTTTTTTTACATAGAGATGGAATCTTGCTATGTTGCCCAGGATTGTCTTGAACTCCTGGGCTCAAGTGATTCTTCTGCCTTAGCCTCCCAAGAGGCTGGGACTACAGGTGTGAGCCACTGCGCCCAGCAAAACTAACCATTTTATTTATTTATTTATTTATTTAGAGACAGAGTCTTGCTCTGTCACCTAGGCTGGAGTGTGGTGGTGGCAGGATCATGGCTCACTGTAGCCTCGGCCTCCCAGGCTCAAGTGATCCTCCTGCCTCAGCCTCTGAATAGTGGGACTCCAAAAAAAAAAAAAAAAAAAGCCCAGTGTACAGGTGTGAACCACCATGCCCTGCAAAACTAACCATTTAATTAATTGTTTAATTTTTTTGATAGAGTCTTGTTCTGTCACCCAGGCTGGTGTGGAGTGTCATGATCTCAGCTCACTGCAACCTCTGCCTCCTAGGTTCAAGTGATTCTTCCACCTCAGCCTCCTGAGAACCCCGGAATTACAGGCAAGCACCACCATGCCCGGCTACCTTTATATTTTTAGTAGAGATGGGGTTTCGCCATGTTGGCCAGGCTGGTCTCAAACTTCTGACCTCAAATGATCCGCCTGCTTTGGCCTCCCAAAGTGCTGGGATTACAGGTGTGAGCCACTGTGCCTGGCCATTGCCTGTCTTTTTAACTTCTATCCCTGGTGCCTGGGACAAAGCAGTGCCCAGTAAATACTGGTTGAAAGAATGGCTAATGGGAAGCAGCGAAGGCCTCTGACTTAGCGGGAGGGGAAGGGTTGGGGTCACAGACCTTCCTGGAAGAGGCAATGGCTGAGTGAACACTTAAAGGATGAGGGGTGGCTGAGTGAAGGAGGAAGCCTCCTGGGAAGGGGACCAGCACATGCAAGGGCCTGGAGCCTGGCGCACTCTGGGAAGAGAGGGAGGCCAGGCAGCTGCAGCGAAGCGTGAGGAGAGTAAACCATGTGTGAAGAGGCTTGAGGGGTAGCCAGCAGCCAGGATAAGGAGGGCCTTGTCACCCATGGGATGGAGTCTGGACTTGCTCCCAAGGCCATGGGGAGCCATGGAAAGGCTTTGGGCAAGAGGGTGCCATGACTTGATTTCATGAAAGTTCTAAGAGGATCCCTCGGCTGCTCAGTGGAGAATGAACCCTGGGGATGAGGGAGTTGGGAGTGGCAGAAGGGAGGCCGGAAGGGAGGCTGCAGTAACCGACCTGGGGAGAGATAGTGGTGGCCTGGGATGGGGAAGTGGTGGCAGAGATGGAGAAGTGATGGATTCAAGACACGGTTTGGAGGTAAAATCAGGACTTGATCTCGGTGGCCAAAGCCCAGTTCTAGTTCCCAAATTTCCCTTTTTAGTTCTTCTGACTCACTGTCTGCTCTCCACACCTCTCCTGTTCCCAGCCACAAAGATGCCTGGGTGTTCACAGTAGCCCAAACGGAGACACCCTGCGGTCCTCAATGGATGGATGGATGGATAAACCAAAGGTGGCATATCTGGCCAGTTGCAGTGGCTCACACCTGTAATTCCAGCACTTTGAGAGGCCAAGGTGGGTGGATCACTTGAGGTCAGTAGTTCAGTTCGAGACCAGCCTGGGCAACATAGTGAGACCCTGTCTCTACAAAAAATACAAACAAAAAAATTGCCTGGAGTGGTGGCATGCACCTGTAGTCCCAGCTACTCAGGAAGCGGAGGTGGGAGGATTGCTTGAGTCCAGGAGGTTGAGGCTGCAGTGTGCCATGATTGTGCCACTGCACTCCAACCTGGGGAACAAAATGAGATCTTGTCTCAAAAAAAAAAAAAAAATTAGGGTATCCATACAAGGGAACATGATTCAGCCATAGAAAAGAAGAAGGACTGATACATGCCACAATGGGATGAGCCTCAAAACCACGATGCTAAGAGACAAAGCCAGTCACAAAGAAACACGTAGTGTTGATTCCATTCATATGAAATGTCCGGAATAGGGAAACCCATAGAGACAGAGAGCAGATGGCTGGTTGCCAGGGGCTGGGGGGAGGGGCAATGGGGAGTGACTGCTTAATGGATACAGGGCTTTTCCTTTTGGGGTGATAAAAATGTTTTGGAATGATCAATGCTTCCAATTATCAAAGTAAAAAGGAAAAATAAAAGTTTTGGAACTTGATAGAGGTGGTACCTTCATAATGTTGTGAGTGTACTAAATGCTGCTGAATTGTCCACTTTATTTATGTATTTATTTCAAGATGGGGTCTCGCTCCATCACCCAGGCTGGAGTGCAGTGGAGCAATCATGGCTCACTGCAACCTCAACCTCCTGGGCTCAAGCAATCATTCTCCCACCACAGCCTCCTGAGTAGCTTGGAATACAGGTGCCTGCCACCCAGATTGGCTATTTTTTTGGGAGGTGCCAATTTTAAATAGTTTTATTTAAGACATTGCATTTTCCACTTAGAATACAGTGCTTATAAACTACAATGTTACTTCCACATGTTCCATATAAGCATTGAGAATGTCCAGTAATTTACTCTAGCAGCTCGACTTTATTTATTTATTTATTTATTTATTTATTGAGATAGAGTCCCACTCTGTCACCCAGGCTGGAGTGCAGTGGCGCAATCTCTGCTCACTGCAACCTCCGCCTCCCGGGTTCAAGCGATTCTCCTGCCTCAGCCTCCCGAGTAGCCAGGATTACAAGTGTGCACCACCATGCCCAGCTGATTTTTGTATTTTTAGTAGAGACAGGGTTTCACCACGTTGGCCAGGCTGATCTTGAACTCCTGACCTCAAGTGATTCACCTGCCTCAACCTCCCAAAGTGCTGGGATTACAGCCATGAGCTACTACACCTGGCCCCTAGCAGCTCAGCATTAAAACTGCCACAGAATTTGTTACAAATTTGGGTTCTTCAATGTTTTGACTATGTGGAATCATGTGATCTTTATATTGGGGTTGGCTTAATCAACCTCTTTTTTTTTTTTTTTTGAGATGGAGTCTCGCTCTGTCGCCCAGGCTGGAGTGCAATGGTGCCATCTTGGCTCACTGCAGGCTCCGCCTCCTGGGTTCATGCCGTTCTCCTGCCTCAGCCTCCCGAGTAGCTGGGATTACAGGCACCCACCAGCACACCCGGCTAATTTTTTGTATTTTTAGTAGAGACGGGGTTTCACTGTGTTAGCCAGGATGTTCTCGATCTCCTGACCTCGTGATCTGCTCACCTTGGCCTCCTAAAGTGCTGGGATTACAGGGGTAAGCCACCATGCCCGACCTAATCAACCTCTTAAATGGTTGTCCCTGAGGAAGTAGGGACACTACGTGTTTCTTTGTGACTGGCTTTGTCTCTTAGCATCGTGGTTTTGAGGCTCATCCCATTGTGGCTTGTAGCAGTCCTTCATTCTTTTCTATGGCTGAATCCCTGAGGAAGTAGGGAAGTAGAGGGAGGAGCTCCATGACCAGGGACTCCCCCAGGTGAGCCTCCTGGCGGTCCTCCTGCACTTGGGTCCAGCTTGGTAATGATGGGGTTACAGCCTTTCTCCAGCTCTTTCTGCTGATGATCAATTTCTTCCTTCTCTGTCATCTGATTCTTATGGAGCCAGTTGATAATTTCATTACACTTGTCAAGAATTTTCTGTTTGTCCTCACCATTAATCTTGCCTTGAATTTTCTCATCTTCAGTGGTGACTTTCCTGTTGAATGCATTGGATTCAAATGAATTCTTGACCCTCTGCTTCTCATCTTCAGCTTTGTACTGCTCATCTTCCTGGACCATACGCTCAATGTCCTTCTTGCTCAAACGGCCCTTGTCATTCATTAGTGATAGTAATCTTGTTCTTTTTTCCTGTACTATTTTTTATTTTTTTGAGACATTGCTCTCTTGCCCAGGCTAGAGTGTAGTGGCACAAACTCGGCTCATTGCAGCTTTGACTTCCTGGGCTCAACTGATCCTTCTGCCTCAGCACCCCCAAGTAGCTGAGACTACAGGTTCACCCTATCACACCCGGCTAATTTTTTTGTATTGTTTTGTAGAAATGGGGTTTCACCATTGTTGCTCAGGATGGTCTCAAACTCCTAGGCTCAAGCAATCCACTTGCTTTGGCCTCCCAACATGCTAGGATTACAGGCGTGAGCCACCACACCCAGCTTCCTATACTTTTGTCCACAGCAGAGACACTGAGGATGTCACTAGCATCAGTGTCAAGTGACTTCAGTGTGAGGAGCACTGTCACAGGAAGTATGCCCGTGAGTTCAAACTTGCCAAGCAGGCTGTTATCCTTGCTCACGGCACGCTCGCCTTCATAAACCTGAGTAAGCACAGCAGGCTGGTTGCCAGAGCAGGTAGTGAAGGTCTGTGTCTGCTTGGTAGGAATGGTAGTATTATGCTTAACAAGGACTGTTGTGACTCTGCCAGCAGTTTCAATGGAAGGGAAAGAGGAGTGACATCCAGGAGCAATGAGTCTTGAACATTTTCTGATTTTCTGATCTGTTTGTCTCCAGATCAGATGGCTGCCTGGGTAGCTGGATCGTAAGAAACAGCTTCATCAGGGTCAATGCTCCTATGCAGTTTTGTTTGTTTTTTTGAGACAGGGTCTCCTACTGTTGCCCACGCTGGAGTGCAGTGGCACAGTCATGGCCCACTGCAGTGTCAACCTCCTGGGCTCAAGTGATCCTCCTGCCTCAGCCTCCCAAACTGTTGGGATTACAGGCATGAGCCACCATGCCCAGCCTTCAGTTCTTTTCTATTGAAGAAGTCTTGGGCAAGCTCTGAATCTTGCAGTTAGAAGCCGAACCAGCAACCAGGGTGATGTCATGAATCTGTGACTTGTCTAGTTTGGTGTCTCAAAGGGCTTCTTCTACGGGGTCCAGGATGCTATGGAACAGGTCAGCATTCAATTCTTCAAATCGGGCATGGTAATGGAGGTATAGATGTCAATTCCTGCCTAGAGAGAATCAATCTCAATACTGGCCTGGGTGTTGGAAGAGAGAGTATGTTTTGCATGTTCACAAGCCGCATGAAGGCGTGCGGGCAGCTCTTTTTCTTTTCTTTTTTTTTTTTGAGACGGAGTCTCCCTCTGTCACCCAGGCTGGAGTGCAGTGGCCCAATCTCTGCTCACTGCAATCTCTGCCTCCCGGGTTCAAGCAATTTTCATGCCTCAGCCTCCTGAATAGCTGGGATTACAGGCGCCCACCACTATGCCTGGCTAATTTTTGAAAAAAAAAATTATTTTTTGAGACAGAGTCTTGCTCCTGTCACCCATGCTGGAGTGCAATGATGCGATCTTGGCTCACTGCAACCTCTGCCTCCTGGGTTCAAATGATTCTCTTACCTCAGCCTCCCAAGTAGCTGGG
Organism: Homo sapiens; assembly: GCF_000001405.40. Classification (NCBI taxonomy): domain Eukaryota; kingdom Metazoa; phylum Chordata; class Mammalia; order Primates; family Hominidae; genus Homo; species Homo sapiens. Next base: position 111,383,725 of record NC_000012.12, on the reverse strand, counting down.
ATTTCAGGTGCCTGCCACCACACCCAGCTAATTTTTTTTTTTTTTTTTTTTTTTTTTGAGATGGAGTCTCGTTCTGTCGTCCAGGCTGGAGTGCAGTGGTGCGATCTTGGCTCACTGCCACCTCCGCTTCCCGGGTTCAAGCGATTCTTCTGCCTCAGCTTCCCGACTAGCTGGGACTACAGGAACGTGCCACCATGCCCGGCTAATTTTTTGTATTTTTAGTAGAGTCGGGGTTTCACCATGTTAGCCAGGATGGTCTCAATCTCCTGACTTCGTGATCCACCTGCCTCAGCCTCCCAACGTGCTGGGATTACAGGCATAAGCCACCGTGCCCAGCCATACCCGGCTAACTTTTGTATTTTTAGTAGAGATGGGGTTTCACCATGTTGGCCAGCCTGGTCTTGAACTCCTGACCTCAATGATCCAACGACCTTGGCCTCCCGAAGTACTGGGATTGTAGGTATGAGCCACCATGCCCGGCCAGCTCTCCTGTTCTCACTGAGGTCCTTCTTATGCTTGCACTTGAGCTCAGCAATGCAACGGCTGTCCATTTGGTTGCAAAGTCTTCTCCACCTTCTCCAGCTGTAGATTTGACTTCAAAAATTTCATCCTCAATAGTGAGGACTGACACATCAAAAGTGCCACATCCCGCACGCCTATAGTCCTGCTACTTAGGAGGCCAAGGTGGGAGGCTCTCTTGATACCAGGAGGTTGAGACCAGCCTGGGCAACATAGTGAGACCTCATCTCTACAAAAAATAAACAAAAATTAGCTGGGCATGGTGGCAAACAACTGTAATCCCAGCTATTTGGGAGGCTGAGGTGGGAGGATTGCTTGAGCTCAGGAGAGCAATGTTGTAGTAAGCCAAGATCGTGCCACTGCACTCCAGCCTGTGTGACAGAATGAGACCTTGTCTCAAAAAATAAAATAAAATAAATAAATAAAATTTTAAAAAGTGCTACCTCCCAGGTCAAAGATCAACACATTTCTTTCAGTTCCAACCTTTTGGTTTAAGCCATAAGCAATAGCAGCAGCAGTTGGCTCATTGCTAATTCTAAGTCCATTGAGACCAGCAATAGTTCTAGCATCTTTTTGGTAGCCTGATGCTGAGTCATTAAAGTAGGCTGGCACTGTGAGCACAGCATTGGTAACAGTCTTCCCAAGGTAGGCTTCTGCAATTTCCTTCATCTTTGTCACAACCATAGGGGACATCTCTGGATAGAAGTTTTTTGTTTTGAGACAGGGTTTCGTTCTGTTGCCCAGGTTGGAGTGCAGTAGCGTGATCATGGCTCACTGCAGCCTTGACCTCCTGGGTTCAAGCAATCCTCCTGCCTCAGCCTCCTGAGTAGCTGGGACTAGAGGTACACACCACCACACCTGGCTAATTTTTGTATTTTTAGTACAGCCAGGGTTTCACCATGTTGCCCAGGCTGGTCTCGAACTCCTGGGCTCAAGCAATCCACCCGCCTCAGCCTCTCAAAGTGCTGGGATTACAGGTGTGAGCCACCACACCTGGCCTGAAGCTTTTTGTTTTTCCCTTGTTCTCTCCTTGGACCTTGGGTCTGCCAGCATCACTCACCACCATGAAGGGCCAGTGCTTCTTATCAGACCAGACAACAGTATGATCAAATCCGCATCCAATAAGATGTTGGCCATCAAAAACTGTGTTGTTGGGGTTCATTGCCACTTGATTCTTTGTGGCATCACCAATCAATCGTTCAGTAGCCGTAAAGGTGACATAGCTTGGAGGGGTTCAGTTTCCCCAATCATTGACAATTAACTTTACCTTTTTGTGCTGGACAATACCCACACAAGAGTTGGTGGAACCAAGATCAACACTAAATGCAGTTCCCTTAGAAAACGGTTGCTGGCATGCAGGCCTGGCTCAGATTGTGAAGAGAGACATAGGAACCCTAAAAGCAGTGGCCATATTCAATGAGGCCCTAATTTAAAAAAATTTTGGAGAGATGGGATCTCATTGTATTGCCCAGGCTGGTCTCTAGCTCCCAGGCTCAAAGTGATCTTCCCGCCTTGGGCTCCCAAAGTGTTAGGATTACAGGCGTGAGCCACCATGCCTGGCCCTAAATTATTCACTTTAAAATGGTTAACTTTTTGTTTTGTGAATTTTCCCTCAATTAAAATAATGAATAAAAGGAACCCCCCGCAACCCCCCACCAAAAAAAAAAAAAAAAGCCAGGCTCATGCTTTCTGATGTCTGCCTCCTTCACCCAGGTCAACCTTTGACTCCAGCATGAGGGGCTCTGAGAACCAAGATTCGCAGGCCCCCTGGAATTTCACCCACATCAAGGCCCATATGTCCATATGCCTGGCATTTTCCTTTCCTGGTGAACGTCTAGACTTGGGGATACTCCACCTTGCCCTTCCTGCCCTGGGAATGATGCCAGCATTAGTGCTGGCCCGGAATCCAGGGGCTCCACTGATGCTGCCTGGTAGCCTTCTCCCTCCACATCTTCCCTCTGCACTGGCTTCACTATCAGGCAGGCTCTGTCCCATCGGGGCAGGTGTTGCTCCTCCCACTTAACAGGGTCTCAGGTCTGAGCCTGGCTGGCCAGGCATGGGTCACATGTCTATCCTTGAACCCCTCATCATAGCCAGGGGCACAGACCGTTCTGATTGCCCAGGCAGAGGGAATGGGCAATATGCCTTCCATGGAAGAGTGTGTTTGTGTGTGTGTGTGTGTATGTGTGTGTGTGTGTGTCTTTCTGGGGGCACCACACATCTATTCTAATGGGCAATATGCCTTCCATGGAAGAGTGAGTGTGTGTGTGTGTGTGTGTGTGTGTGTGTGTCTTTCTGGGGGCACCACATATCTACTCTCCAAGGTCCACAAGCCCTGTCTCCCTGAAAAGAGTGAAGCCCAGAGCAGGGAGGAGCTTCCCCAGGATCACACAACCAAGAGTCCCTGACCTGACCAGGCATTCATTTCCCCATGCCGTGGGTCAAAGGCTCAGGGACCTTCTCTCCGACTGTGACCAACAACGCATTGAGCCAGGGCAGACCTGTGAAATGTGAGGCACACACAAAGTATGGGATCTGAGTTTGCTGACAGCATGGTGGAAGTGGATAAGAGGCCTTGGGGAAGGGGACAGGGTGTGGGAAGCTCAGTGGGAAACCCTACCCTGCTAGAACATCCATAGCCAGGGCTGGCCTGGGAGCCTGCCTTCACATGAGAAGGTGGGACTGTCTTTTTGTGGGTACTCTCTTCGTCTAACAAGCACTTAGCGAAGATCTGGTGTGTGCCACATGCTGGGAACATGGCAGTGCTAGAACAAAAGCCTCAGCTTTCATGGAGATTACATCCCAGAGGTGGCGCTCCATTCATCCCACAAGCATTTACTGAGCACCTACTGTGTGCTAGGTATGGAGACAGGTGTTGGAGATCTGGTGGTGGGCAAGAAGATAAAGATTCCTGTGTTTATGGACACCAAACAGATAAACAGACAAGAAACTTCTCAGGCGGTGATGAGAGCTGTGGAGAAAATGAAATCAGCAAGGGTTGGCAATGATGGGGGTGGCCATAGAGCAGGTAGTCAAGGAGGCCTTCCTAGAAGAGGTGATTTTGGCTGTTTCACATGTAATGGGTCTCTCCGCATATTTAAAACCAAACTTATACTCTTTTCTCTGAGTCCTGGTCCTGTCCCCCTGCTCAAGTTGCTGAGATGTCCAGACCAGGAACTTAGCCACTGCATCAATTCCTCCCATCCCTTCACCTCCCACTTCTAACCTGTGACCATCTTGTACAGTTTTTCAACGCTGTTCCCTTTTCCAAGCCACCATCATCTTTCACTTGGACCCAGACAGCATCTTTTGCTCAGAATCTCAATGTTTGAGAGGCATCCAGGTTGTTGCATGTCTTTCTTCTTCTTCTTTTTTTTTTTTTGAAATGGAGTTTCGCTCTTGTTGCCCAGGCTGGAGTGCAATGGCACAATCTTGGCTCACTGCAACCTCCGCCTCCTGGGTTCAAGCCATTCTCCTGTCTCAGCTTCCCGAGTAGCTGGGATTACAGGCATGCGCCACCACGCCCAGCTAATTTTGTATATTTAGTAGAGATGGGGTTTCTCCATGTTAGTCAGGCTGGTCTCAAACTCCCGACCTCAGGTGATCTGCTTGCCTCTGCCTCCCAAAGTGCTGGGATTACAGGCGTGAGCCACCGCACCCAGCCTCTTCTTTTTTTTTTGAGACAGGATCTCGTTCTGCCACCCAGGCTAGAGTGCAGTGGCGTGATCACAGCTCACTGCAGCCTCAACCTCCCAGGATCAGGCGATCTTCCCACCTCAGCCCCTCAGTACCTGGAACCACAGGTATGTGCCACCAAGCCTGGCTAATATTTTTATTATTTGTAGAGATGGGGGTCTCCCTATGTTGCCCAGGCTGGTCTTGAACTCCTGAGCTCAAACAATCCTCCTGCCTTGGGCTCCCAAAGTGCTGGGATTATAGATGTGAGCCACTGTGCCCAGCCTCTTTCCTTTTTTTAATTGTGGAAAAGTACAGGTAACATAAAACTTACCATTTTATCCTGGATCTGGTTTGGTGTCTGACAAACACACACACACACACACACACACACACACACACACACACACACCCCACACCTCTGATTTTAACCATTCTAAACTGCTAAACTGTACAATTCAATGGCATTAAGTACATTCACTTTGTTGGGCAACCATCATCACTATCTAGTTCCAGAACTTTTTCATCCCCGCAAATGGAAACCTCATGCTGGTTGGCAGTTATTCCTTACCTACCAACCCTGGGCAACCACAAATATTTCTTGCTCTTTGGATTTCTCTCTCCTGGTTATTTGTTTTGTTTTGTTTTGAGACAGAGTCTCCCTTTGTCACCCAGTCTTGAGTGCAGTGGCACAATCTTGGCTCACTGCAACCTCCACCTCCTGGGTTCAAGCGATTCTCCTGCCTCAGCCTCCCGAGTAGCTGGGACTACAGGCACACGCCACAACACCCAACTAATTTTTGTATTTTTAGCAGAGGCGAGGTTTCACCATGTTGGCCAGGCTGGTCTCAATCTCCTGACCTCAGGTGATCCGCCCGCCTCGGCCTCCCAAAGTGCTGGGATTATAGGCATGAGCCATTGTGGCTGGCTCTCCTGGTTATTTAATGTCAATGGAAACTTTATTTCTTTTCATGGCTAAGCACTATTCCATCAAATGGATGTACCACAATTTGTTTCTCCATATATCTGTGGATGAATATTTGAGTTGTTGCTAGTTTCTGGTGTTTCTGAATAAAGTTGCTATGAATAGTCACATACAGGTCTTTGTGTGGTCATGTTTTCATTTCTCTTTGGTAAATACTTTGGAGTGGGATTACTGGGTTGTACATGGCGAGTTTCTGTTCTTTTTTTTTTTTTTCTTTTTTTTTTTTTTTTTGAGACAGACTCTTGCTCTGTCACCCAGGCTGGAGTGCAGTGGTGCAATCTTGGCTCACTGCAACCTCTGCCTCCCAGGTTCAAACAAGCCTCAGGCTCCGGAGTAGCTGGGACAACAGGCGCATGCCACCACGCCTGCCTAATTTTTGTATTTTTAGTAGAGATGGGGTTTCGCCGTATTGGTCAGGCTGGTCTTGATCCTGACCTCAGGCGATCCACTCGTCTTGGCCTCCCAAACTGCTGGGATTACAGGCGTGAGCTACTGCACCCGGCCTTTTTATTTTTTTTTTGAGACAGAGTCTTGCTCTGTCACCCAGGCTGGAGTGCAGTGGTGCGATCTCGGCTCACTGCAACCTCCACCTCCAAGGTTCAAACGATTCTCCTGCCTCAGCCTCCCAAGTAGCTGGGATTACAGGCGCCCACCATCACGCCCAGCAAACTTTTGTATTTTTAGTAGAGATGGGGTTTCACCATGTTGACCACGCTGGTTTCAAACTCCTGACCTCAGGTGAATCCGCCCACCTCAGCCTCCCACAGTGCTGGGATTACAGGCATGAGCCACCTTGCCTGGCAGAGTTTCTGTTCATTTTTACAAGAAATTGCCAATTTGTTTTCCAGAGTGGCTATACCATTCTACCTTCCCATCAGCAGTATGGAAGTTCAGTTGTTCCACATCCTCACCAGCACTTGGTGTTGTCAGTCTTTTTAATTTTGGCCTTTCTAATTGGAACATGGTATTAGCTCATTTGGTTTCAATTTGCATTTCTCTGATGTGTAATGACACTGGGCATCTTTTCATTGCTTATTAGCCAGTATATCATATTATAGCTTTTTTTTTTTTGAGACAGAGTCTCACTCTGTGTCGCCCAGGCTGGAGTGCAGTGGCACAATCTTGGCTCACTGCAAGCTCTGCCTCCTGGGTTCACGCCATTCTCCTGCCTCAGCCTCCCAAGTAGCTGGGACTACAGGCGCACGCCACCATGCCCAGCTAATTTTTTGTATTTTTAGTAGAGACGGGTTTTCACCAGGTTAGCCAGGATATTCTCAATCTCCTGACCTTGTGATCCACCCACGTCGGCCTCCCAAAGTGCTGGGATTACAGGCGTGAGCCACCACACCTGGCCCATATTACAGCTTTTTATAAAATATCTGTTAACATCTTTTGCCTGGGCCAGGCATGGTGGCTCATGCCTGTAATCCCAGCACTTCAGGAGGCCCAGGTGGGAGGATTGCTTGAGTGTAGGAGTTCGAGACCAGCCTGGGCAACATGGTGAAACTCCATCTCTACCAAAAATACAAAAAAAAAAAAAAAAAAAAAAAAATTAGCCAGGCATGGTGGCGCGCGCCTGTAGTCCCAGCTACTTGGGAGGCTGAGATGGGAGGATGGTTTGAGCCTGGGAAGCAGAGGTTGTCGTGAGCGGAGATCATGCCATTGAACTGTAGCCTGGGCAACAGGACCAAACCCTGTCTCAAACACACACACACACACATCTTTTGCCTGTCTTTAGATTGGGTTGCTTATCTTATTATTGGGTTGTAAGACTTCATTATATAGATCTGGCATTCAGATTCTGTCAGATATATATATCAAGAAAATTTTTTTTCTCAGTTAGTTGGTGGCTTATCTTTTTGTTTCTCTGATGGTATCTTTCCTTTCCTTTCCTTTTCCTTTTCCTTTCCCTTTTCCTTCCTCCCTCCGTCCCTCCCTCCCTCCCTCTCTCTCTCTTTTTAAACAGGTTTTAAAAACAACCTTTATCTTTTTTAAAGTCAATATGGGCCGGGTGCAGTGGCTCACACCTATAACCCCAGCACTTTGGGAGGGTGAGGCCGGCAGATCACCTGAGGTCAGGAGTTCGAGACCAGCATGGCCAACATGGCAAAACTCTGTCTCTACTAAAAACACAAAAATTAGCCAGGCATGGTGGCACACACCTGTAGTCCCAGCTACTTGGGAGGCTGAGGCAGAAGAAATGCTTGAACCCAGGAGATGGAGGTTGCAGTGAGCTGAGATTGCACTCCGGCCTGGACAACAGGGCAAAATCCTGTCTCAAAAAAACAAAACAAAAAAAACCCCCCAACCTACTGAAGTCCAATTTTTATTTTTTTCTAGTTTATGCTCTTTGAGTCTTAAGAAATCTTTATCCTAAAGTTGTAAAGATTTTCTATTTTATTATTTTTAGTTCCTTTTTTTTTTTTTTTGAGGTAGAGTCTTGCCCTGTGGCCCAGGCTGGAGTGCAATGGCGCGATCTTGGCTTGGTGCAACCTCCACCTCCCGGGTACAAGTGATTCTCCTGCCTCAGCCTCCCGAGTAGCTGGGATTACAGGCATGTGCCACCATGCCTGGCTAATTTTGTGTATTTTTTTTTTTTTTTTGAGACAGAGTCTCGCTCTGTCGTCCAGGCTGGAGTGCAGTGGTGCAATCTCAGCTACTGCAACCTCCACCTCCAGGGTTCAAGCAATTCTCCTGCCTCAGCCTCCCAAGTAGCTGGGACTACAGGCACACGCCACCACACCCGGCTAATTATTTTTATTTTTAATAGAGCCAGGGTTTCACCATATTGGTAAGGCTGGTCTCGAACTCCTGACCTCAGGTGATCCACCCGCCTCGGCCTCCCAAAGTGCTGGGATTACAGGCATGAGCCACCATGCCCGGCCCAATTTTTTGTATCTTTAGTAGAGATGAGGTTTCACCTTGTTGGCCAGGCTGGTCTCAAACTCCTGACCTCATGATCTGCCCGCCTCGGCCTCCCAAAATGCTGGGATTGCAGGTGTGAGCCATCGTGCCCGACCTTATTTACTTATTTTTTGGAGACAGGGTCTCACTCTGTCGTTCAGGCTGGGGTGCAGTGGCGTGATCCTAGTTCACTGCGGCCTTGACCTCCTGGGCTCAAGCGATCCTCCTGCCTCAGGTTCCTGAGTAGCTGGGACTACAGGCATGCGCCACCACACCCAGCTAATTAAAAAACAATTTTTTAAGAGATGGGTTCTTACTATTTTGCCCAGGCTGGTCACTAACTCAGGCGATCCTCGCACTTTGTTTGGCCTCCCAAAGTGCTGAGATTACAGGCATGAGCCATTGTGCCTGGCAGCCCCTATTTTCTTCTAGAGATTTTAGAGTTTAGCTTTTATGTGCAAGAGTTTGATGTATTTTGAGTTAATTTTTATGTATGGCATGAGGTAAGTATCAAGGCTGTTTTTTTCTATATGAATATCCAGTTATTCCAGCTCAATTTGATGAAAAGACTAATCTGGATTTTTCCCTTCGAATCTCCATTTTTCCCATTACTTAGGTCCAAAAGTTGAGAGTCCTTTTTATTTTTATTTTTTATTTTTTGTAGAGACGAGGTCTCCACCCACCTTGGCCTCCCAAAGTTCTGGGATTGCTGGTGTGAGCCACTGTGTCCAGCCCTGGGTAATATTTTTATCATTTGTAGAGATGGGGTCTCCCTGTGTTGCCCAAGCTGGTCTCAAACTCCCAGGCTCAAGTGATCCTCCTGCCTCGGCTTCCCAAAGTGCGGGGATTACAGATGTAAGCCAGCATACCTGGCCCTGGAGTTCTTTTTCTTCTTTTCTTTTTTTTTGTTTTTTGAGACAGAGTTTTGCTCTGTCGCCCGGGCTGGAGTGCAGTGGGGTGACCTCAGCTCACTGCATCCTCTGCCTCCCGGGTTTAAGCAATTCTCTGCCTCAGTCTCTCGAGTAGCTGGGATTACAGGCACCCACTACCACGCCTGGCTAATTTTTTTTGTATTTTTAGTAGAGACGGGGTTTCACCATCTTGGCCAGGCTGATCTCAAACTCCTGACCTCGTGATCCACCCACCTTGGCCTCCCAAAGTACTGGGATTACAGGCGTGAACCACTGTGCCCGGCCCCTGGAGTTATTCTTAACTCCTTTTCTTCCTTCCTCTCTCTCTGTCTCTCTCTCATTCCCCACATGCAACCTATCATCAAATTTTACATATATCTTAAATATATATTAATGTGGTTTGGCTGTGTCCCCACTGAAATCTCAACTTGAATTGTATCTCCCAGAATTCCCATGTGTTGTGGGAGGGACCCTGGGGGAGGTCATCGAATCATGGGGGCTGGTCTTTCCCGTGTAATTCTCATGAGAGTGAATAAGTTTCATGAGATCTGATGGGTTTATCAGGGGTTTCTGCTTTTGCTTCTTCCTCATTTTCTCCTGCCGCCACCATGTAGGAAGTGCCTTTCACCTCCCGCCATGACTCTGAGGCCTCCGCAGCCACGTGGAACTGTAAATCCAATTAAACCTCTTTTTGGCCGGGCGCAGTGGCTCACGCCTGTAATCCCAGCACTTTGGGAGGCTGAGGAGGGCAGATCAAGAGGTCAGGAGTTCGACACTTGGACACAGGATGGGGAACATCACACACCGGGGCCTGTCGTGGGGTGGGGGGAGGGGGGAGGGATAGCATTAGGAGATGTACCTAATGTAAATGACGAGTTAATGGGTGCAGCACACCAACATGGCACATGTATACATATGTAACGAACCTGCACGTTGTGCACATGTACTGTAGAACTTAAAGTATTTAAAAAAAAAAAGAGGTCAGGAGTTCGAGACCAGCCTGGCCAACATGGTGAAACTCCACCTCTACTAAAAATACAAAAAATTAGCCAGGCGTGGTGGCAGCTGTAATCCCAGCTACTCAGGGGGCTGAGGCAGGAAAATTGCTTGAACCCAGGAGGCGGAGGTTGCAGTGAGCTGAGACTGCACCACTGCACTCCAGCCTGGGTGACAGAGTAAGACTCCATCTCAAACAAAAACAAAAAAACCCAAAAAATCTCTTTTTGTTCCCAGTTTTGGGTATGTCATTGTCAGCAGTGCAAAAATGGATGAATACAGTAAATTGGTACCAGGAGTGGAGTGTTGCTGAAAAGATAGGCAAAAATGTGGAAGTGACTTTGAAACTGTAACAGGCAGAGGTTGGAACAGTTTGGAGGGCTCAGAAGAAGACAGGAAAATGTGGGAATGTTTCAAGCTTCCTAGAGACTTGTTGAATGGCTTTGCCAAAATGCTGATAGTGATATGGACAATAAAATTCAGGCTGAGGTGGTCTCAGATGGAGATGTGGAACTTGTTGGGAACTGGAGCAGAGGTGACTCTTGTTATGTTTTAGCAAAGAGACTGGCGGCATTTTGCCCCTGCCCTAGAGATCTGTGGAACTTTGAACTTGAGAGAGATGATTTAGGGTATCTGGTAGAAGAAATTTCTAAGCAGCAAAGCATTCAAGAGGTAACTTGCAGGCTGGGAGCGGTGGCTCAAGCCTGTAATCTCAGCACTTTGGGAAGCCAAGGTGGGCAGATTACCTGAGGTCAGGAGTTCAAGACCAGCCTGACCAACATGGTGAAACCCTATCTCTACCAAAAATACAAAAAATTAGCCATGTGCAATGGCGTGCACCTGGTGCCAGCTACTCAGGAGGCTGAGACAGAAGAACCGCTTGAACCCAGGAGGCGGAGGTTGCAGTGAGCTGAGATCACACCACTGCACTCCAGCCTGGGCAACAGAGCAAGACTCTGTCTCAAAAAAAAAAAAAAAAAAAAAAAAAGAAAAGAAAAGAAAAAAATAAGAAGTAAATTGTAATAGAAAGAAAAGCCCATTTTCTGGGGAGAAATTCAAGCCGGCTGCAGAAATTTGCATTACGTAGCAAGGAGCCTAATGTTAATCCCCAAGACCATGGAGGAAATGTCTCCAGGCCATGTCAGAGAACTTCCTGGCAGCCCCTTCCATCACAGGTCCAGAGGTCCAGGAGGAAAAAGTGGTTTTGTGGGCCAGGCCCTGGGTTCCTGTGCTGTGTGCATCCTAGGGAGTTGGTGTTCTGTGTCCCAGCTGCTCCAGCCATGGCTGAAAGGCACCAACACAGAGCTCAGGCTGTGGTTTCAGAGGGTGGAAGCCCCAAGCCTTGGCAGCTTCCATGTGGTGTTGAGCCTGTGGGTGCACAGAAGTCAAGAATTCAGGTTTGGGAACCTCTGCCTAGATTTCAGAAGATGTTTGGAAATGCCTGGATGCCCAGGCAAAAGTTTGCTGCAGGGGCAGGGCCCTCATGGAGAACCTCTGCTAGGGTGGTGCAGAAGGGAAATGTGGGGTTCAGAGCCCCCACACAGAGTCCCTACTGGGGTACTGCCTAGTGGAGCTGTGAGAAGAGGGCCACCATCCTCCAGACTCTGAAATGGTAGATCCACTGACAGCTTGCACTGTGTGCCTGGAAAAGCCACAGATACTCACCACCAGCCCGTGAAAGCAGCCAGGAGGAAGCCTGTACCCTGCAAAGCCACAGGAGTGGAGCTGCCCAAGATCATGGGAACCCATCTCTTGCATCAGCGTGACCTGGATGTGAGACCCGGAGTCAAAGGAGATCATTTTGGAGCTTTAAAATTTGACTGCCCCACTGGATTTCAGACTTGCATGGGCCCTGTAACCCCTTTGTTTTGGCCAATTTCCCCCATTTGGAACGGCTGTATTTACCCAATACCTGCATCCCCACTGTATCTAGGAAGTAACTAGCTTGCTTTTGATTTTACAGGCTCATAGGCAGAAGGGACTTGCCTTGTCTCAGACAAGACTTTGGACTGTGGAATTTTGGGTTAATTCTGAAATTAGCTAAGACTTTGGGGGACTGTTGGGAAGGCATGATTGGTTTTGAAATGTGAGGACGTGAGATTTGGAGGGGCCGGGGCAAAATGATATGGTTTGGCTGTGTCCCCACCAAAATCTGAACTTGATTTGTATCTCCCAGAATTCCCACGTGTTGTGAGTGGGACCCAAGAGGAGGTCATTGAGTCATGGGGGCCAGTCTTTCCTACGCTATTCTTATAATAGTGAATAAGTCTCACGAGATCTGAAGGGTTTATCAGGGGTTTCCGCTTTTGTTTCTTCCTCACTTTCTCTTGCCACTGCCATGTAAGAAGTGTCTTTCACCTCCCGCCATGATTCCAAGGCCTCCTCAGCCATGTGGAACTGTAAGTCCAATTAAACCTCTTTTTGTTCTCAGTTTCGGGTATGTCTTTATCAGCAGTGTGAAAACGGACTAATACATATATCCATTAAATATATATCTATACTTAACCACTTCTCTCCACCTCCACTGCTCCACTCTAAGCCACCACCATCACTTGCTTGGACTACTGCAGTAGTGTTCTCCCTGATCGCCTGGCTTCTACTATCATTCCCTGCCCATAGCAGTCAGGGACCATGTTAAATCTAACACAGACCATGTCCCTCCTCTGCTCAAAACCCTCCCATGGCTCCTCATTCTTCTTAGAGTAAAAGCAAAATCTTTCCTCTGGTCCTTAAGCCCCTAGGTCACCTGGCTTTCTGGCTTTGCCAATAATCTCTGATCTATTGTGTTTTTTTTTTTGTTTTTGTTTTTTTTTTGTTTGACAGAGTCTTGCTCTGTCACCCAGGCTGGAGTGCAGTGGTGCAATCTCAGCTCATTGCAACCTCTGCCTCCTGGGTTCAAGTGATTCTCCTGTCTCAGCCTCCCAAGTAACTGGGATTACAGGTGTACACCACCATGCCTGGCTAATTTTTTTTTTTTTTTTTTTTTGTATTTTTAGTAGAGACCGGGTTTCACCATGTTGGCTAGGCTGGTCTCGAACTCCTGACCTCAAGTGATCTACCTGCCTCGGCCTCCCAAAGTGCTGGGATTATAGGCGTGAGCCACTGCGCCCAGCCAGCTGACCTATTTTCCTACTATTCTTCCCATTGCTCACTTGGCTCCACTGGTCTCCTCGTTGTTCTTCAAACATGCCCAGGATGGCCCCATTTCAGGGCTTTTGCACTTGCTGTTCCCTCTGCCTGGGACCTCCTTCTCCCAGATAACCACATGGCTCCCTCCCTCATTCCTCCAGGTCTGTCCTCAGAGAGGCCTTCCCTGACCACCTTGTCTAAAAGCTGCACTTCCAGCTTGGGCAAGATAGCAAGACCCCCCCGATCTCTACAAAAAATTAAAAAAAATTAGCCGGGTGTGGTGGTACACACCTGTAGTCCCAACTACTTGGGAGGCTGAGGTGGGAGGCTCGGTTGAACCCAGGAGTTCAGGTTACAATGAGCTGTGATTGTGCCACTGCACCCCAACCTGGGTGACAAAAAAACACAAAAAACAAAAAACAAAAACAAAAAAACTGCACTCCCAGGCTTTCTGCCCCATTGCCTTAGCGTACAGTCCTAGCATGAATCACTTCCAGAACTCATTTGTGTTGTCTTGATTCCTGGCTGCACCTGCTTACCTGGTTCAGGTACAGTGCCTGGCACACAGTAGGCGCTTAGTGAGAGGCTGTACAATGGAGAGCTGACCCTGGTCTGTCCTGTTCTTCCTGCTTTCAGGCCAGGACTTAATAGTGATTGGGAGGTGGCGGGTGGTGGAGAAGAGGCGGCAGGAACAGGAAGGAAGGGTTCAAGGAGGTGGGCAGGGCAAAAACAACAGCAATTCCTATTTCTTGAGAGCTTTCTGTTGTGCCGTGCACTTTACATATCATGATGGTCTTTATTTTCCGGATGAGGAAACGGAGGCTTAGAGAAGTGAAATGATTTCTCTAAGCTCACACAGTGTTCAGTGGCCTAGTGCGACTCGAACTCAAGTCTGCCTAATTCCAGAACTTCCTCTCTTCACCTGGAGCCAGGGGAAGCTTGCGAGGCGCCCTGTCCGTATGGAACAGTGCTGTACGCAAATGTCCTGGATTCAGCTGTTTTTTCTGCCACTCACACATTTTTCAGGAATTAGAGCTATTTTTCTAATTTAACTGGGCATTAAATTTGCTAAACCTGGCAACCCAGGTTTAGCAAATATTTTTATTATTTGTAGAGATGGTGGTCTCCCTCTGCTGCCCAGGCTGGTCTTGAACTACTAGGCTCAGGCAATCCTCCTGCCTCGTCCTGGGGGGAGTTCGGACTTAAGCCTAGGACTTCAGCGAATGGCCCGCCCAGGACCCCCAAATGCTTTTGCAGGCTAATCCACGACCTGGGCCAGTCCTTACCTTTGGAATCGCAATGAGCTTCCCGGGCTCCAATCCGCTTTTCTGGGCTAGGGAACTGGGGAGTCGCGAGCCAGGAGCGGACCCTTTAAGAGTGATTTCGAGGGCGGGCTCACGGGGGCGTGCCGGTTCGGGGCCTGCCAATCGGGAGGTGGGAAGAACGCGGGGGCGGGCCCGGCGCGAGCAGGCTGGGAAGGGTTAAAGGGGCGCGCCCGTGGGTCGCGGACTGTCCGGTTGCTCCCGCCTCCTTCCGTCGGATCCGCGCTCTCCCGCGGCTGCGCCGGCCCGGCCGCCCAGGAGACAAAGCGCTGCCGCCGCCGTCGCCGCCACCGGGCCAGTCCCGAACCATGGCCGGGCCACCCCGCAACCTCGCGCCTCCCGTCCCGTCGCCGCCCTAGGCCTGCGCTGCGAGGTAAGGCGGGCCTGGCGGGGGGACATGCACGAGGACATGGGACCCGGGTCGGGCCGCCCTGGGCCTCGGGGTCCCCCGGCCACCTGGAGAGCGCGTTGCGGGGATCTTCCCCGCTGGGACTCCGCACCAGTGGTGACTTCTCCAGCTGCCGAGGCGAACTTGGCCAATGACCACCCTCCCCTCTCTCAGCCCATAGGGACGTCTGCCGCTGGTGGGGACTGCGGATAAGCCCCCCATTCTGCCGCTGATCACCCATCTGGGGCTCTGGCTGTCCTTTAAGGAACTTAAGAGAGCTCCCACGCACAACACACAAAGGGACAGAGAGCAGCCGGGAGCAGGGCCACACCTGGAGCAGCAGCCCCTGCCGTGGACAAGGGGGCTGCCTGTGTCTGGACGGCGGTGCTGGCGTGTCTCTGGGGTCCCTGCTGGGGCGGTGACGGCCAGGCTGCTCTTTAGTGTTCTTGGCACACATGTTTTTCAGCCTGTGCCTGCCACACCCTCTTCCCCACGCCCGCTGCTGGGGGACACTGAGGGCAGCTGGATTCAACCCCAGGACCTGCGGTACTGGCTTCTTTTCGTTGATGTGAGTGCCAAAATGCCATGCTTCAGTCTCCCAGGAGACCTGGGTTCCGGGGCCAGCTGTGCCCCTGGAGATCTTGGATGAATTATTTGCCTTTTTGACAGCTCTTTCCCTGAAAGCTCACTACCCACCAAGTATTTTGCAAAATGACTCTTCAGGAGTCAATTCACTCAGCCCTTAGAGGGATGGAAGTTAACGTCACCATTTTGCAGATGAGGCTGAGAAAAAACTCCGACTCACAGCAGCTAATATTTGCAATCCATTTCCCATAGTTTGCCAGTGGGTTTTCCTTCTTTTAGCTCATGAACCCTCGCCACACAGCCCAATTTAACAGATGAGGACACTGAGACTTGGAAAGGTGAAACGACTTGTCCAAGGTCCTCCAGCCTGGACCTGCGGAGGCAGGAACTTTGCCTTGGGAGCAGAGCTGGGCCAGGCTCCCTCCAGCTTCCTGTCTGGCCATGGGCTGTTGAATCAGCAGCAGTGCCCACAGTGGACTCTGAACTTCTTGGAAAACAGTGTGGGGAGATAAGGCAGGGGCCAGGCCTTCGCTCCAGGCAAGGCTGGCGCCTGTGCCCCTGCAGCTTCCTGTCTTCCCAGTTCTGGTGGAGGCAGGGGTCATGGGCAGAGCTGGGTCCTGTGCCTGCTGGTGACCTTGAACCAGTTTGGCCTCTATCTAGGCAGTCGGGGGAGGAGGGTTGCTGAGCAGGAGGGAAGTTGCTATTCCTTTGGCCTTGATGGGGTGGAGAGACCCCAAGATCAGCCCCTTTATTTGGGTGGCTTGCCTGGAGCATGTGATTCTGGGCACAGTTGTATGCCTCTAGCCAACTTATTGAATCTCCCTGTGTCCATTTCCACATCTGTGAATGTGGGGTGAGATCCCTTGTCTTGGGGCTGTTGAAAGGTTTCAGAAGATACTGCAGAATGAATCAAACAGCTGTGTGAGTACCTACTGCATGCCAGGCACTAGAATTCAGACCACAAACGCCCCTGCAGGCAGAAATGACCCAGGTATTAATTTCAGGTGGAGGCACAGGAGAGGGACTGGGGGGCCTCTTGTGCATAGGGTGGCCAGGGACCACCTCTCTGAGGAGGTGACAGCTAGGCTGAGACCAAAGGATGGGGAGCTGGCCTTGTGAAGACCTGCAGGCAGACAGCCGGGACCAAGTCTTGGAGGTGGGGATGTGTCTGGTGTATTTGAGGAACAGAAAGGAGGCCAGGATGGCTGGAGCTGAGTGAACAAGGGGGAAAGAGGTAGGGAAAGGGAACTTGGAAGCCAAGGGAGGCTTGGATTTTTTTTTTTTTTTTTTTGAGACAGAATCTCACTATGTCACCCCCCAAGTTCAAGGGGTCCTTCCATGTTAGCCTCCCAGATAGCTAGGACTAGAGGCTTGTATCACCATGCCCAGCTATTTTTTTTTCTATTTTTTATAGAGATAGGGTCTTGCTATGTTGTCCAGGCTGGTCTCTAACTCAAGCAATCCTACCCCCTCAGCCTCCCAAAGTGCCAGCATTACAGGTGTGAGCCACCGCACCCTGCCTAAGGATTTAATTTTATGCTGAGAGAAGTAGGGAGCCATGGGAGGGTTTAGAGCAGAGGAGGAGTGTGATTGGACTTAATTTTCACAGGATCCATCTGTGGGAAGTGGATTTCAGTGTGGCTCGGAGAAGAGCTTAGGAAGGAGGCTTGGATCTTACCTTGAGGAACATGGACAGGGAGGGGCAAGGAGACTTATGAGGAGGCTACAGCAGCCATCCCAGTGAATGGTGATGGGGCCTAGAATGGGGAGGTGGAGTGGACAGATTAGGCAACTGATTTGGAAGACGCTGGAGAGGGGGATCAACTGGACTTGATGTGCGATCAGATGCGGGGGTGAGAGGGAAACCAAGGGCCATTTGCTGAGATCGGAAGCACAACACAGGGATGTTTGGGGAAAAGCCAAGAAAAATGTGAACTGCAACCGCGCTCAGCAGGCACTGTGTGCCTGGCCCCATGCTCCGCAAAGTCCATATAGTCACTGTATCATTGTCACAACAGCCCTGACTTAGGCACTGTTACGATCCCATTTTACAGATGCAGAAACAGAGGCCCAGAGAGATGAATAGCCTGCCTGGGGTCCCCCAGCCCAGATGCTGCAGAGCTGACATTTGAATCCAGAGAAGAGCGAGCTGAGGCTGGAGCTGAGCAGAGGGCAGGGAGGCAAGTGGTGGCCTGAGAGGTAGGAGCGGAACTGGGCAAGCAGGGCGGGAGGGTCCTGTGAGAACCGGGGCCAGCATCCACATGGGAGTTGATGGGTGGTGGTGTGGGGAATGCGTGAATCCCTGCGGCTTAGAGAGGGACAGCTGTAGCTGAGAGGCAGGGTGGGGATTCAACACCTGGAGACTTTGGGGGCTCTGGCCTTGGCCTCCCACTAGGTCAGGACAAACTGACCTCAGTTTCTTTTTTTATTTTAAGTTCCATGATACATGTGCAGAACATGCAGGCTTGTCACATAGGTATACGTGTGCCATGGTGGCTTGCTGCACCATTGACCCGTTCTCTAAGTTCCCTCCCCTCACCCCCGATCCCCCAACAGGCCCCGATATGTGTTCTGCCCCTCCCTGTGTCCATGTGTCTCATTGTTCAACTCCCACTTATGAGTAAGAACATGCGGTATTTGGTTTTCTGTTCCTGTGTTAGTTTGCTGAGGATGATGGCTTCCAGCTCCATCTATTTCCCCGCAAAGGACATGATCTCATTCCTTTTTATGGCTGGATAGTTTTCCATGGTGTGTATGTACCACATTTCCTTTATTCAGTCTATCATTGATGGGCATTTGGGTTGGTTGATCTCAGTTTCTAAGTCACAACTCATGTTCCGTCTTCTAGGAAGCCTTCCCTGACTGCCTATGTGGCTGACAGGAGGTGGCAAGGACAACCCCCTCCACCCTAGGACAGGTAGTCTGGCAGGGCCTCACTGCGGTCACCTGCTCCCAGGAGAGCCACCACCCTGACCTCATTCCACCAGGCTCTGAGAAAGACACCACCCAGGCAGGGGAATGAACACTGAGTGCCTACTGCGTACCAGGACTTTATATCCTTTGCTTCTTGAAAAATGTAGCTACCATCCTATGCAGGCTGAGGCTCTGCAGTGGGAGATAAGGCAGGCTCTCAAAATGGCCATGGAAAACCCCAAGGGAAGGTGGCCAGGCCAGGGACGCAGATGCCACCTCCCGACAAGTCCTTCCTGGCCAGCGTTGCCCCATCATATACTCCTTGGGGGAAGGTGGATGGGGTCACTGTGGCCGATGGCATGGAGTTAGAGTCCTCTATGCTAAATGGCACGGGTCGACCCCCTGCCCCTCCTTCCTGTAAGTCAGCCTAGCCCTGGGCCTGCATCTTTCCCCAAATTCTTTCTTTTTTTTTGAGACGGAGTCTGGCTCTGTCCCCAGGCTGGAGTGTAGTAGTGCAATCTCGGCTGACTGCAACTTCTGTCTCCTGGGTTCAAGCACTTCTCCTGCCTCAGCCTCCCAAGTACCTGGGATTATAGGCACCCCCCACCATGCCTGGCTATTTTTTTTTTTTTTTTGAGATGGAGTCTTGCTCTGTCGCCCAGGCTGGACTGCAATGGCGCAGTCTTGGCTCACTGCAACCTCCGCCTCTTGGGTTCAAGCGATTCTTCTGCCTCAGTCTCCCAAGTAGCTGGGATTATGGGCGTGCACCACCTCACCTGGCTGTTTTTTAGTAGAGATGGGGTTTTGCCATGTTGGCCAGGCTGGTCTCGAACTCCTGACCTCAGGTGAGAAGGATTGGCCTTGGCCTTCCAAAGTGCTGGGATTACAGGCGTGAGCCACTGTGCCCAGCCCCTGTCTTACTATTTTCCATAGAACATGAGACTACCTGGCAGACGTCTTATCTGTTTGTTAACTGTCTGCTCCCTTTCACTTGCCA
The DNA here is from genome assembly GCF_000001405.40 of Homo sapiens. Classification (NCBI taxonomy): domain Eukaryota; kingdom Metazoa; phylum Chordata; class Mammalia; order Primates; family Hominidae; genus Homo; species Homo sapiens. Next base: position 111,364,401 of record NC_000012.12, on the reverse strand, counting down.
GTGGCATTTCAACACCACGAGGGCAGGGACCGTGTCCATCTTTTTTTTTTTTTTTGAGACAGAGTGTCACATTATTGCCCGGGCTGGAGTGCAATGGCATAATCTCGGCTCACTGCAACCTCCGCCTCCTGGGTTTAGGTGATTCTCCTGCCTCAGCCTCCCGAGTAGCTGGGATTACAGGCGCCCGCCACCACGCCTGGCTTATTTTTTGTATTTTTAGTAGAGAAGGGGTTTCACTGTGTTGGCCAGGCTGGACGACCCTGTCCATCTTGTTATTGCTATATCCCTAGGCCTGGAACAATGCCTGGCACCCAGTAGATGCTTAATAAACATTTTATGAATGAAATCAATCTCTACAACTCTCCAAAGTTGGTTCTGCTCATCCATTTCATGGATGAACAAACCAAAGTCGAACCACAAAGTCAGGGCTGGGACCTGGCAGGGACTGCAGAAGGCCAGCTGGTCTTGTTCTTGGGATGATGGAAACAGCAGCGCCTGAAATGAGGCCTGGGTTTGGATTTCAGCCCTGCCCAACCTGCTTTGTGACACCAGGGAAGCAGTTAACCTCTCTGTGCCTCTGTTTCCTCATCTGTTGCACTGGTGCCAGGCCAGTCCCTGTGACCTAAGGTCTATTGTGAGATAAAGTGAGTTCATTCCTCTGAAATGTCTGGCATGCAGCAGGAACTCACAACATTATTTCAGGGATACAGGAGGGTAGGAGGTTATGAGGCTGTCTGGGGAGGCCCGTGAGACCCAGGTTCCAGTCCTGTCTCTGCTTCTTAGGAGTTGTGGGCGCATAGGCCAGCTGCTTCCACCCTATGAGCGTCAGTTTCCTCATCTGTGAAACGGGGATGTAGAGTGGCTGCAAGGTCCCCTTGGGGCACTGGGTGACCTAGCGTCAGTGGCCTTGTGCATAACAGCCCTTCTATGGGGTCCAGGCCCCAGGCTCCCCTCCAGGCCCCGCGATTGCCACCATGAAGCTGAACGAGCGCAGCCTGGCCTTCTACGCCACCTGTGACGCCCCGGTGGACAATGCAGGCTTCCTGTACAAGAAGGGTGGGCGGCACGCGGCCTACCACCGGCGCTGGTTCGTGCTGCGCGGGAACATGCTCTTCTACTTCGAGGACGCTGCCAGCCGTGAGCCCGTGGGCGTCATCATCCTGGAGGGCTGCACTGTGGAGCTGGTGGAGGCCGCCGAGGAGTTCGCCTTCGCTGTGCGCTTTGCGGGGACCCGGGCGCGCACCTACGTGCTGGCCGCTGAGAGTCAGGATGCCATGGAGGGCTGGGTCAAGGCCCTGTCGCGTGCCAGCTTCGACTACCTGCGGCTGGTGGTGCGCGAGCTGGAGCAGCAGCTGGCGGCTGTACGTGGCGGGGGTGGCATGGCCCTGCCCCAGCCCCAGCCCCAGTCCCTGCCCTTGCCCCCGTCCCTGCCCTCTGCCCTGGCCCCAGTCCCATCCCTGCCTTCTGCCCCAGCCCCGGTCCCAGCCCTGCCCCTGCCCCGCCGGCCCAGTGCCCTCCCGCCCAAGGAGAATGGCTGCGCTGTCTGGAGCACTGAGGCCACCTTCAGGCCTGGACCCGAGCCCCCTCCACCACCGCCTCGCCGCCGGGCCTCGGCACCCCACGGGCCCCTGGACATGGCCCCCTTCGCCCGGCTGCACGAGTGCTATGGCCAGGAGATCCGGGCCCTGCGTGGCCAGTGGCTCAGCAGCCGGGTCCAGCCCTGAGGCCACCAGGGCGCCTGTTTTAGGGGGACACAAGCTCTATGCCCTCTGGGACAGGCCGGGTCCTGGAGAGACTGGGGGAGCAGATCCTGAGGGAAATCATGGGCAAGGCTGGCCCCCAGGCCCTGAGTGGCCTGGTTTTGGGGGATGCAGGCTCTGAGAAGGTGCTGGATTCTGAGTGGGCCTTTAGGACCATGTGACCCAGAAGGCCTACCCTTGAGGGGAACGTCACGTGCAACACTAAGGAGAATCCAGGGCCTGAGGGGGAGGTTTCCTGAGAACTCCGGCCCCAGGCTGGCCTGAGCTGCCGGGCAGAGGCCTGTGCTGGCAACAGGCATTGCCGGGCCTGCAGCTCAGAGGGTCACTGGGACTGAGGGCGATCTGTGGCCTGAAAAGCAAATGCACAGTTAGTGCAGCTCCTGACCAGGCCTTCAGGGTGGACAGAGGGAGGATCGGTCATGGCAGCCACACCTGGGCCTGGCCTTGCTCCGGGACCTGCCAGAGGAGCTGGCCTGGCTCTGTGCCTGCCTGCCTCCAGGAGCAGGACGGTGGCTGGGAGGGTAGTGACTGGGGACACAGGTGCAGGTGTTAGTGCAGGACCGGAAGGGTGAGGTGGCCTGGTCCTCGGGGCTCCTGGCCTGGGCTGGCTGAGGCAGGACTCTGCCAAAAGTCCCCTGCCAGGCCTCATGGTGGTGCTCCTGGTGGCAGTGGCTCTCTGGCCGCGGGCCCTGTCTGTGTCTCCGTGGTGGCTCTCACAGGGCTCTCCAGACACTCCTTGACTGCATCCTTCAGTCTTGGCCCCTAGGCCTGGGGCCCCTTGGGAGCTTGCCTGACCTCCCTTCCTGGGCTGGGTAGCCATGGCCCGAGGTGACCTTCTAGCAGGTTCCCCCAGGGAGGGGAGGCCACCAGCTGACTCACCGCCTAGGAAGGCCCAGGTGCTGACCTAGTGGCGGAGAAAAAGCCGCACACCGAGTGTGGCTTCCAGAGCCCCTCTTCAGCTCCAGGCAGCCCCCTCTAACATGTCCCCTCCTGAGCTCAGCCCCCACCCCCATACTCCTGGTGGGGACCAGGTCTTGCTTGGCTTCGGGGCTGACCGCCGGTCCCCTTTCTTCTCACCACAGTGCCCATTTTTCATCCAGGGAGAACCTCGGGGCTGGGACACCTCCTGGCCCTCACCCTGGGTCATGTTTACAGTCCTCAGTGCCCCACACCGGTGGCCCCCTGAGGACACCTCCACCCTGACCTTGATTTTCCCAAACGCTGCCTCTTGGTGACAGACTCAGCCCAAAACCCCTTCCTTCTGTCTCTGGAGACCCTTGAGCTTGGGGAAATATGGAGGGGTGTGTGTCTGCAATCAAGGCCTCTGCAGCTCACGGCTGGCCCGGTGGGCTGGGACTTCCGTCTGAATTTTAAATACTTAGGGTTCATTTTTTTTTCTCTGGCAACAAAGCTTGATGTTTTCACTGCTTTAGTTTCCTGTTTGCTGGTGGGAGGGGATACGGTCTGTGACTCTGGACTTGCTCTGGGGGAACAGTTGTCACTGCCCCCGGGGAGAGGGGCAGCTTGGGCTGGAGAAGCACAGCCAGAGACAGAGCCCCTCGAGAGGGATCCTTGGCTGCTTCATTGTCTTCCCCCCAGCAAGCCCTGCTCTCCACAGGCACCTCTGGGGTCTTGGTATGGTCCCCGCTCACCTCCTTCCAGAGTCCTGAGTGGTGTGGGTGTGGGTGGCACAGGATCTGGGGCATGGGAGGGGTTCAGAGCTTCCCAGAGCCCCGTGTCCTGGCAGACTCAGCTGGTGGGCTGGGGTGTTAACCCCAGTCCTGGCGTAGGTTTACAGACTCTCAAGGTACGTTGGCCCTGGTCTCCTGGGAGAGAGGGGTGAGGGATGTCCCCTACCAAAGCACAAGGTGGGATCAGGCTGCCTCCTGGGTTGGGTGTCGGGGGAGCTGTCCGGCAGCCTGGCAGGGAGATGCAAGGGCTAAAGTAAAATTTTGTCAAGTAATGGCTGATTGTGTCATTTTTTTTCCCCATCAAAATCCTTGATTGATTTCCCTGGCAGAGCCCAGAGCAGGCTGTGCAAGGGCAGGGACTAGTGTGTGGTCCCACATGGCTGGTGCCCTGCCAGGCACGTTCTCACTTCTCAAGGCAGATGCTGGTCCCGTTTTACAGATGTGGAAACAGGCTCACTGAGGTTATGAAACTTGCCAAAGCCACATAGCTAGAGAGTATAAGAGCAGGGATGTAAATCTCTGAAATCCCGTGACAGGACAGAGTCTTCAGGAGGAATATGAGGGAAAACGGAGCCCAAAGTTCCTTTTCAGAAGGTAGAGAAGGCAGGGAGAAGCCAAAGATTTGAAAGCTAACTGGGCTGAAGACCTGAGAGTTGGGAGGGACATTAACAATCCTGATCAGGATGGCAGATGGAAGAGTCGAAACTGCGTGCTTCTCACTGATAAGTTCATGGAGGCTGTGGAGGGAGCTGGAGTGAAGAGGATTCTAGCACCAATGCAAGTTCAGAGGGAAAGAGTCTGTGATTGATTAGTAAAATCTGCCGTGAGCACCATGTGGCTGGTAGTGGTGCTCATGCCATGTATCCGCTCTCTGACTGATTGAGTCTGTCTACTGGGTTAATGGGTTCACAGAAGGGGCTGGCTCAAGGTGGCCTAGCATGATGGACTTAAGCCCTAGGTCCTCTTCACGTGGACTCAGCTTGGGTCACAGGTCTCCCTTGCCAGCCTAGAAAAATCCTGTACATTTAGGAACATGTGGCTTAGCGTGAGCAACCTAAAGTCCTCGTTGTTCAAGTTCAAGAAATGAAAAGTATGAAGATCAGGGAATCATGGCCCTTGTGAGCATCTAGTGCATGCTGAATAATTTTTTCCATCTCTTGTGGGACCACAGCTGACAGATGGAGGCTGGGGAAGTGGCTCCCCACACAAGCTGAGTCAGGGCACTGCCTGTGGCATTTGTGACCGCGGCCACCGTACAGCATGGGGCAAAGAGTAGGGGAAATAGCGGGAGAGAAAAACAGCTCCAAGAGGGAGGGTCAACAGCAAAATGCTGGACATCCAACTGCTGATATGTCAGTGATTCCTCCGGACCCAGGGGAGGTGTTCAGGGCACAAGTCTAAGGGGGCACTGTATGTGGTCAGAAGGAATATTCTGAGAAGCCACTTGGGGTAGAGGGTGAGGCCCTCAAGCAGGACACTGCAGCGAGAGGTTAGGCTGATTGCCAAACATCCATGCACCCTAAATACTTAGTCAAATGCAATCAGTTACGCTGCCATAGGCTCTCAGGGAATAGCTAAACTTTACTGCCAGAGAGCGACCATGTGGCCTGATTTTGGCCAATGAGATGTGAGTTGGAAGAGTCTTTTTCCTTCCAAAACACACACACAATAAAGAGCTCTTCATTGGCCAGGTGCAGTGGCTCACGCCTGTAATCCCAGCCCTTTGGGAGGCCAAGGCAGGTGGATCACGAGGTCAGGAGTTCGAGACCACCCTAGCCAACATAGTGAAACACTGTTTCTACTAAAAAATACAAAAATTACCCAGGCATGGTGGTATGCGTCTGTAGTCCCAGCTACTCGGGAGGCTGAGGCAGGAGAATCGCTTGAACCTGGGAGGTGGACGTTGCAGTGAGCCGAGAGAGTGCCACTGCACTCCAGCCTGGGCAACAGAGCGAGACTCTGTCTCAGGAAAAAAAAAAAAAAAAATCTCTTCATTGTTCTCTGTGGGGAGGGAGAAGGGGAGTAATGTCTGTGATGCCTGGAACTGTGGCAGCCATCTTGCAATCATGAAGCTGACCACTCTAAAGAAAGTGCTCCATACTGAGTTTGGCGCACACTCCAGGGTGGTTCTGGGTAACCAACTGCAGGGCTGTTGTTGGCTCAGTGGGGTGCAGGTTGGGGCTAGAATGGGATTGCCTGTTACAGTAAAGGGGCCACTGCTTCTTATCCCTTCCTAAAGAGTAAACAAATATTGAAGGAAGATCATGTCCCCCTATGGCCCTGCATCTTGGATGTTCCTAAGTGAGGCTGCTTTGTCCCCACTATGTGCTGTGTGGCTAGATCTGGTGCTAACTGTCTGCTCCCCCTAACACCTCCACGGATGACCTCACCTCACTCACCTTGCACAAACTTTGTTATGAAAAAGTTCCTGTGGCCAGGTGCAGTGGCTCATGCCTGTAATTTCAGCACTTTGGGAGGCTGAGGGGGCAGATCATCTGAGGTCGGGAGTTAGAGACCAGCCTGACCAACATGGAGAAACCCCGCCTCTACTAAAAATACAAAATTAGCCGGGCATGGTGGTGCATGCCTGTAGTCCCAGCTACTCAGGAGGCTGAGGCAGGAGAATTGCTTGAAACTGGGAGGCGGAGGTTATCCAGCCTGGGCAACAAGAGCAAAACTCTGTCTCAAAAAAAAAAAAAAAAAGAAAAAGTTCCTGCTACCTGTCCCAACTTCTAAAATCTCAGCATTCAACATGAAACTCTTCGAAGATGGTAAAATAATAAGTTGTCTAAGCCTAGCTGTAGGTTTTGCACTTTTCTGATGAAGACTTTTTTAAAAGGTGGGCAAAATATTTGCAAGTCATTTGCAATCTGATAGGCAGACTATAGACAGAACTCCTAAAACTCAACAACAACAAAAAAAACCTGATTTAAAATTGGGCAAAAGGCCGGGCGAGGTTGTTCATGCCTGTAACCCCAGCACTTTGGGAGGCTGAGGCGGGCAGATCACCTGAGGCCAGGGGTTTGAGACCAGCCAGGCCAACATGGTAAAACCCTGTCTCCACTAAAAATACAAAAATTAGCCAGGTGTGGTGGCGGGTCCCTGTAGTCCCAGCTACTCGGGAGGCTGAGGCAGAAGAATCGTTGGAACCCAGGAGGTGGAAGTTGCAGTGAGCCAAGATGGCACCACTGCACTCCAGCCTGGGTGACAGAGCAAGATTCCGTCTCAAAAAACAAAACAAAACAAAACAAATAGTCCAGGTGCAGTGGCTCACGCCTGTAATCCCAGCACTTTGGGATGCCAAGATGGGAGGATCACCTGGGGTCAGGAGTTTGAGACCAGCCTGGCCAACATGGTGAAACCCTGTCTCTACTAAAAATACAAAATTAGCTGGGCGTGGTGGCAGGCAGCTGTAATCCCAGCTACTCAGAAGACTGAGGCATAAGAATTGCTTGAACCCAGGATGGGGCGGTTGCAGTGAGCCGAGATGGTGCCATTGCACTCCAGCCTGGGGGTAGAACGAGACTCTGTCTCCAAAAAAAACCACAAAAGACTTGAGTAGATATTTCTCCAAAGAAAATATATAAATGGCCAATAAGTACATGAAAAGATGCTCACCATGAGTAATCAGCAGCAAAATACAAGTCAAATTAGGATGGCTGCAGTCAACACAGAAAATAACAAGTGTTGGCCAGAATGTGGAGAAATTGCACAACCCTTGTGCACTGTTGGTGGGAATGTAAAATGAGGCAGCCACTGTGGAAAAAAGTGTGGTGGTTCCTCAATAGTTACAGATAGAATTACCATGTGATGCAGCAATTCACTGCTTGGTATATATCCGAAAGAACTGAAAGCAGAGTTTTTTGTTTTTTGTTTTTTTGAGATGGAGTTTCTCTCTGTCACCTGGGCTGGAGTGCAGTGGCATGATCACGGCTCACTGCAACCTCTGCCTCCTGGGTTCAAGCAATTCTCCTGCCTCAGCCTCCCAAGTAGCTGGGATTACAGGCATGCACCACTATGCCCGGCTAATTTTTATATTTTTAGTAGAGATGGGGTTTCACCATGTTGGCCAGGCTGGTCTCGAACTCCTGACCTCAGGTGGTCCACCTGCCTTGGCCTCCCAAAGTGCTGGGATTACAGGCGTGAGCCACCACACCCGGCAAAAGCAGGGTCTTGAAGAGACATTTGCATACCCATGTTCATAGCAGCATTACTCATGTGTCCATCCCAAGTGTCCATCAGTGGATGAGTGGATAAAGAAACTGTGGTCTATCCAGGCAATGGAATATTTTTCAGCCTTAAGGGAAGGAAATTCTGACACATGCTACAACATGGATGAACCCTGAAGATATTAGGCTAAATGAAATAAGCCAGCCATCAAACAAATACTATATAATTCCACTTGTAGGAGGTATTATTTTGATGCAAAAGTAATTGCAGTTTTGCAATTAATGACAAAAGCCACAATTGATTTTGCACCGACCTAATACTAAAAGTAGCCAAATTCAGAGACAAAAAGTAGAAAAGTGGGTGGCAGGGGCTCAGGGGAGGCAAAATGGGGAGTTAGTGATGAATGAGGACAGAGTTTAGTTTTGCAAGATGAAAAGAGTTCTGGAGATGGAGGGTGATGATGGCTTCATTGTTATAAATGTTCTTGACACCATTGAACTGTACACTCAAAAATGCTTAAGATGGCAAAGTTATGGCCGGGCGTGGTGGCTCATGCCTGTAATCCCAGCACTTTGGGAGGCCGAGGTGGGCAGATTGCTTGAGCCCAGGAGCTTGAGACCAGCCCGGGCAACATGGCAAAACCCCGTCTCTACAAAAAACACAAAGATTAGCCAGGCATAGTGGTGTATGCTTGTAGTCCCAGCTACTCAGGAGGCTGAGGTGGGAGGATTGCTTGAGCCTGGGAGGTGGAGGTTGCAGTGAGCTGAGATCACAACACTGTACCCCAGCCTGGGTGACAGAGTGACCCGTCTCAAAAAACAAAACGAAACAAAACAAAACAAAACAAACTTTATGTGTATTATGTATATTTTACCACAATAATAATAACAAAAATAAAGGCGGGCCCATAGATTTGTTTTTTCCAAGAGGATTTCCTGCTCCTGACACAGGGGCCAGCTGCCTTTGCGGTTCCCCTGTGCCTGGAGCTGAGAGCAGCCGAGGGCCGGGGCCATGGTTGCTACCCTCTCTTCATGGTCCAGGGGCACAGCTGTCATTGCTTCTCTAGTTGTGATGCTGAGAAATCCCAGGGCAGGGCACCCAGGCCCTCTAGGCTGCAGCTCCTTAAGAAAGGGGCCTCCCCTCTGTCCCTCCCTGGGGCCTGGCACAGAGAAGCCAATCTTTGCTTCCATCCCTCTCTCAGCTCCCCTGAGTCTTCCCTCCTTGCCTACAGCTGATCGGATGAGAGTTGGTCAGACACAAGCTGAGCCAATCAGGGTCCTGGGAACTAAGTTTGGTATCCGTAGTGCTAAACTTAAGAGCTGATGGTTGAGCGACCCTTCTGGGACATGATGGCAGGGAGAGAAACAGCCAGGCCTTAGAGAGAACTAAGATCAAAATAGCCTGTGCGACACCTATTGAAGCCTGGCTAAACTTCCTGTTTTTGGGTTTTCGAAGATCTCCCCTGGATCCTCCCAATAAATATTTGCATAGTTAAGTGGGTTATAATTTCTTTCAATCCAACAGTTCTAGACTGTAAGACACCCAGTGAGTATCTGTTCTGTGCTCCTATTCTGTCATTCTCTTGTTTGCCAGTGTCCATCCTAGGGGCTGGCACACCCAGGGGGCTGAAGAAAACCAACTGGATGACAAGTCTCTCTGAGACCTATGACAGTCAGTGGGGCTTAACCCTTAGTTTGTGTCCAAATCACCTGGAGTGCTTCTTAAAAATGCAGATTCCTGGGCCCTGGCTCAGTAGGTTTGGGCAGGGCCCAGGAAACTGCATTTTGAGTAGGGTGCAAGGGATTCTAGGGCCACAGCTGAAGAAATGATAAGGTAGTGTGGTGGCAGCCTCTAAGATGGGCCCCAGGTGACCCTGCTTCCTGGTATTCACATCCTGGTATGGTTCTTTCCCACACTGAGTTATGGTGGGCGCATGTGGCCAATAGATTGCACTGGATGCAACAATGGGGCTTCCAAATCGAGGTCACAGAAGACACTACATCCTCCGCTGTGACTACTCCGGGGAAAGTCAGCCACCATGTTGTGAGGATGCTCAAGCAGCCCTGTGAAGAGTCCTACCTGGAGAACTAAAGCCCACAGCCAGCACCAACTTGTGGGCCATAGAAGTGTGCCATCTTGGAAGCAGACCCTTTAGTCTCAGAACAGCCTTCAGATGACTGCAGCCCTGGGTGATGGCTCAACTGTAACCTCCTGAAAGACCTACCAGCCAGAATCATCCAGTTATACAATCCCCAAATTCCCGACTCATGGAGATTATGACAGATAAATGCTTATTGTTTTAAGCCACTCAATCTTGGCATAGTTTTTTATGCAGTAATAGACAACTAGTAAAAGTGATGCTATGATGATCAAATCCATTTTCCAGTTAAGGAAACTAAGCTTCATGGAAGGGCTCTAGAATTACCTGATAGTGGAGATTCAAACCCAGGCCAGGCTAAGTTCAAAGCCTGTACTTTCACAGCTATACCCTAGGAGGCTGGAGAAGGTCACAGATCAGCAAAGAGCTTAACTGTTTCTCCCTCTCATTGTGTGCAGGCAGGGAAACAGACCTGGAGGGAGGAGTCACCATTGTTAAGGTCACCTGGCTGGCCTATCTGGGTGACGTTCCCTGCCCCAGGCCCCCTGCTCTTGGGATTGGGAGTGCATTCAGCGTCCCAGGTACCTGCAAAGGCAGCCTGGTTTCCATAGCGGCACAACTTGAAGCCTTGGCTGTGGGGAGGTAGGGCTTCAGAATGACCAACCACATCAAGGGCCAGTCAGCTAGGGAGGGCTTGGTTTTGTGCATTTTCTAGGAGGTGATGGGATGTGGGGCTGCCTGCTCAGTGGGAGGAGCTAAACTAGGAGGGAGGAGTGCACGGAGGCCTGAGGCTCAGGGCCTGCCCTCAGGGCTCTGGTGTGCCTTCTACCCAGGCAGATGGGACCTCCTAACCTCCTCAAAGTGCTAGACTGACCACAGCAACCCCCTGCCTCACACCTTCCATGGCTCCCCAGTACCCTCAGGAGAAAGGCATATTCCCTGCCATGCCCCAAGGTGCTTCACAATTTGGCTCCATCCCTCTTCCTCCCCACTGCCCTACCTCAACTTCCAGCCTCCTTTGGGCTTCTTCCTCCCGGGTTCTTATCCCAGTTCCACCTCCTGCCTATGGTTCCTTCTGCACTCCTCCTCTACTTCTCCTTTCTAACTCTTGTCATCTTTCAGGCATCAGTTGGGATGCCCCGTCCTCCAGGAAGCCTTCCTGGACCCCACTACTTGTACCTTCATGGCCTCCTGTGTTTCCTCCACCCAACTCTGAGCACACAATATGTACTCAATAAATGCTTATAGCATTGAGCAGACAGTAGGTACTCAATAAATACTTAGCAGCTGATGAACAGTTGCCCAATGGCCCCCAGCTGGGCTCTCCACTCTCCTCTGTGCCCCGATCCAAACCCGCCTCCTCCTGGGGGCTGTCCTGGCCTTCTCGTTGCTCTCCAGCCCCTCCACTTTCCCGCAGCCCCCCAGTGCAGAATTCCACATTTTGCTGCGCTGTTGCTGCCTGTTTCACTCCAGGGCAGTGGTGGCAGACACCCTGTCAACACCAAAGCTGATGACCCAGAACATGCTTCAGTCCCTGAAGCCCACAGGCACCTGCTCCCTCGGGTTCTCAGGTGGCTTGCGTGGTGCCAGACTCCACTCCTGCCAGCCTGGTCCCACAGGGGGCCACACCCTGGGGGTTTCTGACCTCCAACCTTCTCAAGAGCTGTGAATGAACTGAGGGTCTGAAAGGGTATTCTTTGGTTTTGTTTAATTTGAATCTTTACAACCACCTTGTGAGCAAGATGCCATTCCTACCGCCTCCACTTTATGGCTGGGAAACTGAGGCACTGTGTAGTTTAAGCATTTGCCCAAGGCCACACAGCTCTAAGAGGCGGAGCCAGAGTTGAAACCAGGCCATTTGGCTCTTGACTCCCATCTTCCTCCCCAGCTCTGAGGACAGGCCATCCATTCGCCTGAAATGTCACATGCAATGGGCTGACTCAGGAGCTCCAGGGCTGATGGGGGCCTGGGCCCTGACCTGCCACCTCCCACTCCCACCACTCCATGATGGGGTGCCCAGGCATCCCAGTGGGCTGTCCTGCTGGGCTTGGAGCAATTAGTTATCCTAACCGAGACGGGGGTAATTGTTTAACGCTCCCTGCAAGGATATACGGAAAAACTGGGGCAATTGGAAGATTTCCAGACAAAGGGAAAAGGGCTGTCTTGGGACAGCCACATGGCTGGGCTCATGGGTGAGTAATGTTTAGTGCCACTTCAGGGACTCTCCTGACATCATAGGTCACAAAAAAACCCCTCCTGCAGCCTGATGCACAGAGACTCACTATCATAGGCTGGAAGAACCTACCCCCTACTTACAATAACAATAACTAATAGTTACCGAGTTTTTTCTTTTTTTCCTTTGAGATGGAGTCTTGCTCTGTCGCCCAGGCTAGAGTGCAGTGGCACGATCTTGGCTCACTGTAACCTCCACCTCCTGGGTTCAAGCGATTCTCCTGTCTCAGCCTCCTGAGTAGCTGGGATTATAGGTGCACACCACCACGCCCAGCTAATTTTTGTATTTTTAGTAGACATGGGGTTTCACCATGTTGGTCAGGCTGGTCTCGAACTCCTGACCTCATGATCCACCTGCCTTGGCCTCCCAAAGTGCTGGGATTACAGATGTGAGCCACTGCGCCTGGCATTTTTTTTTTTAATAGTCTCACTTGGCCGGGCGTGGTGGCTCACACCTGTAATCCCAGCACTTTGGGAGGCCGAGGCGGGTGGATCACGAGGTCAGGAGATCGAGACCATCCTGGCTAACATGGTGAAACCCCATCTCTACTAAACAAAATACAAAAAATTAGCCGGCGGTGGTGGCGGGCGCCTGTAGTCCCAGCTACTCGGGAGGCTGAGGCAGGAGAATGGCGTGAACCCGGGAGGCGGAGCTTGCAGTGAGCTGAGATCTCGCCACTGCACTCCAGCCTAGGCGACAAAGCGAGACTCCGTCTCAAAAAAAAAAAAAAAAAAAAAAAAGTCTCACTCTGCCCACCCAGGCTGGAATGCAGTGGCGCAATGGCTCACTACAGCCTCTGCCTCACTACAGCCTCTGCCTCATGGGTTTAAGCAATTCTCGTGCCTCAGCCTCCTGAGTAGCTGGGACTACAGGTGCCCACCACCATGCTTGGCTAATTTTTGTATTTAGTTATCGAGTTCTTACTGCCGTGCAGTTTTACGCATATGCATATGCATGTATATTATTCACAATGACCTTCTGAGTTGGCTGCTGTGATACCCCCATTTTGCAGATGAGGAAACTGAGGCCCCAGTTATACAACTAGGAAAGGTGTGATGCTATGTTGGTCAACAGGAAGCCCCTCTTGGCATTTTCCCATCGGGCCTGGGGGCACTAACCACTCACACACTGTACAGAGGTGGGCACAGCTTGCAAGCTGGTTCACTTGCTGGTTTAGGGGTAGAGTGCAGTTTTGACTCCTCATACCAGGCCCTGGAGTCTGAGCAGCTTCTACTCTGCTGCAGGCTGGTCCACAAGGCACACTTGCCAACCCAGATGCCCACAAGGCCCAGGCAGGTTGCACAGTTGAGGGCTGAAGCAAATCATGGGCATGTGCCCCATCTAAAGGCAGCCAGCCCTCATCTGGCTGTTGTCACATTGGAACGTGGGCCCAGTGTGGCCAAGATCTTGACTATTTCCTGGAGAAGCTCATAATCATGCTTTTTAATGGGACATGCCCATTAAATGTTGGCCATTTTTTTTTTTTTTTTAGAGAGGAGGGTCTTACCGTGTTGCTCAGGATGGTCTCAAACTCCTGGCCTCAAGTGATCCTCCCACCTTGGCCTCCTAAAGTTCTGGGATTACAGGCCTGAGCCACCATGCCCAGCCAATGTTGGCAATTTAGAAACCAGGCTTAAATTTTTTTTTTTAGAGACAGGGTCTCTCTCTGTCTATGCTGGAATGCACTGGCAATCATAGCTCACTGCAGCCTCAAATTCCTGGGCTCAGGCAATCCTCCCACCTTGGCCTCCCAAAGCACTGGGATTATAGGTGTGAGCCATTGTGCCTTAAAAACTAGTTTTAAAAAATACCATTTTGTAAAACATCTCTGAGGGCCAGATCTGACCTCCAGTTTGTACTCCTAGCCCCAGAACAAAGAAGCAAGACACCCAGAATTATTATACAATTCTGTATTTAGCGACTCGTTTACAGAACGTGTTCCTTTTTTTAAAATTTTAAACAAAGTTCATCAATCTCTCATAGAAACGGTTTGTGTATGTGTGTGTGTGTTTTTTAACCGTTATAGGACGTGAACCTGACAAAGTTGTTCACGGGTCCGCTAGCTTTAAGTACAACAGGATTTCCGTGTTCAAAAGACTATACTAAGTGCTTAATCAAATCCCGTCACACTAAAGCCAAATTTAGTTCTCTAGGAATCGGAGTCTGCGTATAAGCCTGGATTTCAACGTTGTGTTGGTTTCAACAGTAAAAAGTGGTGTGTTCCCCCACGGTTGTCTTAATTGCAACAGGGTGGTGGTGGCTAAAAGATGTTTCATTTGTTCCAGATTTGATTACTCTGAAAATGGTCACTGTTTCCTATTGTCAAAATATAAAAATACCTTCATCTGGATAAAAATGTATACAGTGGAAAACTCTTCAATGCATAGCCTGGGTGTATGGAAAAGGTTTTCCTTCAGGGTTTGTGTTTTGTTGACTGTTTGGTGTGGAGACTGCAGCCTGGGCTGGGTGTGAGAGTTGGGATTTCTGGAACGGTCCTTATCTGTCCCCTTCTGGTTGCCGGGTTTTGCCCATATGGTTTCAAAATGCTAGCTACATCTTTGAAACCTCCATCGGCCATCTCACCCGCTGGCATTACATTGGCATTGATTATATTCACCTTCTCATCTTCATTCTGGGGAGTCACTCAATTCAGCCTTCCCATGGACAGTTTGAAAAAGGAAACGTAATAAAAACAAGGGAGAGAGATTCAGTAACCAATATGGTGGCCGTTCTATCCAAATTGGGAACTCTCACCCTAGAAACCATGCCAAAGACGCTGGAGGAAGGGTTCCTCTGAGTTGGGGGTTAAGTCTCTGCTCCCCAACAGGTCATGCGTTGGAAGGTAGGAGGATAGATTTGGAGGCTGGGATATGGTGAACATGCTGCGATGAACTTGGCCTTCCAGAGTTCTGCATGGACTTGGAGTTGCAGATGCCTTCCAGAAACAGCACCACGGTCAACTTGAGAAAGAAGATGGCGAGAAGGGGAGCTGGGGTCTCTAGTTTGATGAATCTACTTTTTGGCGCTGGTTACTAAGCTTCAGTGGTCATGGGATGACCAACACTGTCACTTTCGGAAAACACCAAGAGGGGAAGATGGTGGCCACAGTCTTGCTCTGGAATACCCACACTCCTACAAGTGGGGAAACTTCCTGGGTTGTGCCTATGGTTCACACGGGAAATGGGGTCGCTCTGGCTCAAACGCCACTCTCCAAGCACCTGCCCCATGCCCACCTTTCCAAAGGATCTGGAAACACTTCTTGCCTATAGATGGACAAGATGGATGTCTGACCTCCATGGCCCACAGGTTTCTAACTAGTGAGACCTGTGTAAGCAGTTTGTTCTGTACCATGCTACATCTCATATAGGACGGTTGGGCCACGGCCCACATCTCTACAACATTTACAATGGCACGGACATTCTGTTATCAAGCTTGCAAAACAGACCACCAGAATGAAACACATCCTCAACGGCGTCGAGGTTTTTGTTTAGAGTCTTTTGGACTTTCTCTTTTTAGCACAGTTTCTGGAAGGGCAGTAGCATTGCGCTGTGTCTCACAGACAGATGTGGAAAAAAATCGTGGTTCAAAGGTTATCTAAATTTTGGTCAGTCTTATAGTGTTTTGTGATGGCTTTGAATAATTGTCTTCTTTTAATCTCATCTAGTGGCAAAAACGACACAACTTCAGTGTATACTTCGCAACAGTTGTGACAGCATCCTGATTTTATAACTCTCTGTAATATCAAAACAGCATCAGCTGGGATAAATTCCAAAGGATCCTTTATTAAAATATCTAAAAGAGGTCTATAAATATTTATTTATTTTTCTAAAAGAGTTTGGAGTTTTCAGGTGAATATGTGGTGCCATTTTGCTTCTGCCTCCTGCAGAGGGGTCAGGGTGAAGAGGAGCAGGGGGGTGCAGAAAAGTGGAGGCAATGGCATTTGACCCACCTGCTCACACAGCTTCATAGAACTAGGATTACAACAAAAAACGTAAACGGCATAACATTGCTGTCCACATTTTGATGGTTGAGTTCCTCCCTCCCTTACCCCATCCTGTTGAGGAGAGTAAGTGCGAGAAGGAAGGTAGTTACCAGGGTATGTCCCTTGCCCCCTCACCCTGCCTTCAGAACTCCCACTCCAGGGCCTCCTCCCGATTGGCAGCCCGCTCTACTCGGTAAATGATGTTGTTCAGATTGGCCATCTTCTCATGCCGCCGCTGCAAGTTGGGGTTCACCTTGGCACTGGGGTGCAAGGCTCCAGCCATGTCAGCAGTGGGGCTGGCACTCGGCACTTTGGCAGGGGGGGCGCCAGGTGGGGATGGGGAGATGGGAGCTGAGGAGGAGGGGACAGGTGACACAGACATCATGAGGCCTGGTGAGGAGGCGGCCGAGGGCGAGTTCAGTGACACCTCCAGGCTGCAGCGTGAGGACTCTGAGGCTGACTTAAAACTTAAAGGGTCCGGGTGAAGTCGCTCCCCGGCCTCACTCTCCTGTTGGGGATGAAGTGAGGGACAGTCTGGGGTGGATCCACCTGGAAGGAGGGGCCCGGGAGCCACTTTTGGGAGTCCATCATTACCCGGAGGGTCGGGATGCTCCTCTTTGGGGGGACCTTGGCCTTTGTCCAGCTCCCCTGAGTCCTGGGGCTGGCTGCCTGCCTCTTCCTCAGCATCCTCCTCCATCTGTTCCTGCTTGATCCTCACTTGGGCCTTGTCCTGGGTGGTCAGGGGTGTGCTGTTCTCCTCAGGGCCCTCCTGAAGCTCCAGTTCCTTCACGGTTGGCTTCTGGTCCTCAGTCTCAGAGTCAGGGCTCTGCGGGGTGGGGTCTGGGTGGGAGTGGCCTGGCGGTAGGATTCCAGGACCCCCGCTTGGATCAAGGTCTGGCTCATCCTGGGTCCCCTCCACCAACATCTCCCGGCGCATCCGGGACCTGGGGCAGAGACGGCGGTGAGCCTGGGGCTGGACAGGGGACTCCCAAACCCTGGACTCCATCTGCATACATGGCATTTTGGTCCCACCCACTGCCCTGGGGCTCTCTAGGCACTAAGCCTCCATACTTGCACCATCTTATTAAGTCTTCTCAACAACGCCACAAGGTGGGCGCTATTATTATCTCCACTTCACAGGAAACAAGGCTCAGAGATGTTAAGTGACTTGTTCCAGGTCACACAGCTAGTAAGTGGCAGAACCGAGACTTGAACACACGACTACTGAATCCCAAAGCTCATGATCTAGACCTGTGCTGGCCAACACAGCAGTTACTGGCCATACATGGCTCTTGAGTGCTTGACATGAGGCTAGTCCACATTGACATGTGCTGTAAGGGTACAATACACACCGGTTCTTAGGCTTAATACAAAACAAAGTGAAAGATCTCATTAATAATGTTTATATTGGGCTAAATCAAATAAATGATTATGATTAATTTTATCTCTTTTTTTTGAGACAGAGTCTCACTCTGTCACCCAGGCTGCAGTGCAGTGGTGCGATCTCAGCTCACTGCAACCTCTGCCTCCTGGGTTCAAGCAATTCTCCTGCCTCAGCCTCCTGAATAGCTGGGATTATAGGCATGTGCCACAATGCCTGGCTAATTTTTGTATTTTTAGTAGAGACAGTGTTTTGCTATGTTGGCCAGGCTGACTTGAACTCCAGACCTCAGGTGATCCACCCACCTTGGCCTCCCCAAGTGCTGGGATCACAGGCTTGAGCCACTGGGCCTGGACCCAATTATTTTCTTACAGCAAATGAAGTCAAGAAATTTTCAGTAACTTGTCCAAGGTCATAGAACAACAGGGGTTTCTGTTTCCTCAGCACCTTCAATGCTGTGGCTCCCTGGCCATTTATGTTAACAATAAAGTACACTAATATAGACTATTAGCAACTATATAGTTACAAACATAATAATAATGGGCGCTTATCATGTGTTGGGCACTAGGCTAAGCACTTTTTGCGGTTTTCTTTTCTTTTTTTTTTTTTTTGAGATGGAGTCTCGCTCTGTTGCCCAGGCTGGAGTGCAGTGGCGCAATCGCGGCTCACTGCAACCTCTGCCTCCCGGGTTCAACCTATTCTACTGCCTCAGCTTCCCGAGCAACTGGGATTACTGGTGGGCGCCATCATGCCAGGCTAATTTTTGTATTTTTAGTAGAGGCAGGGTTTCACCATGTTGGTCAGGCTGGTTTTGAACTCCTGACCTCAAGCAATCCACCAGCCTCGGCCTCCCAAAGTGTTGGGATTACAGGTGTGAGCCACCGCACCCAGCCTGTTTATTTCATTTTCTGTTAGGTTGGTGCAAAAGTAATTGCATTTTCTGCCTTTTTTTTCTTTTTCGTGTAACTTTTTTTTTTTTTGAGATGGAGTCTCACTTTGTTGCCAGGCTGGAGTGCAGTGGGGGCACGATCTCGGCTCACTGCAACCTCTGCCTCCCGGGTTCAAGTGATTCTCCTGACTCAGCCTCCTGAGTAGCTGGGACTACAGGTGCATGTCACCATGCTAATTTTTGCATTTTTAGTAGAGACGGGGTTTCACCATGTTGGTCAGGCTGGTTTTGAACTCCTGACCTCAAGCAATCCACCAGCCTCGGCCTCCCAAAGTGTTGGGATTACAGGTGTGAGCCACCGCACCCAGCCTGTTTATTTCATTTTCTGTTAGGTTGGTGCAAAAGTAATTGCATTTTCTGCCTTTTTTTTTCTTTTTCGTGAAACTTTTTTTTTTTTTTTTTGAGACGGAGTCTCGCTCTGTCACCCACGCTGGAGTGCAGTGGCGCGATCTTGGCTCACCGCAAGCTCCCGGGTTTACGCCATTCTCCTGCCTCAGCCTCCCGAGTAGCTGGGACTACAGGCGCCCGCCACCACGCCTGGCTAATTTTTTGTTTTTTAGTAGAGAAGGCATTTTACCATGTTAGCCAGGATGGTCTCGATCTCCTGACCTCGTGACCCACCCGCCTTGGCCTCCCAAAGTGCTGGGATTACAGGTGTGAGCCACTGTGCCCGGCCTTTTTTTTTTTTTTTTTGAGATGGAGTCTCACTTTGTTGCCAGGCTGGAGTGCAGTGGGGGCACGATCTCGGCTCACTGCAACCTCCGCCTCCTGGGTTCAAGTGATTCTCCTGACTCAGCCTCGGGAGTAGCTGGGACTACAGGTGCACGTCACCATGCTAATTTTTGTATTTTTAGTAGAGACAGGGTTTCACCACGTTGGCCAGGATGGTCTCGATCTCTTGACTTCGTGATCTGCCTGCCTTGGCCTCCCAAAGTGCTGGGATTACAGGCGTGAGTCACTGCGCCCGGCCTTTTGTGACTTTTTATTTTAATGGCAAAACCATTTTTTTAAAAAATGGCAAATCCTTTAAAATGGATCAAAAAACATTTTTTAAAAAATGGCAAAAACCAGCTGGGCGTGGTGGCTCATGCCTGTAATACCAGCACTTTGGGAGGCCAAGGCAGGTGGATCACTTGAGGTCAGGAGTTCTAGACTACCCTGGCCAACATGGCAAAACCCCATCTCTACTAAACAAAAAAAGAAACAAAAGTGGCAAAAACTGCAATTACTTTTGCACCAACCTAATATAATAATCTCATTATGATACACTAGTCTGATTTGCACTGATAAAGGAGACCAGGCTGAGAGGGCACAGGAACTGGCATGGTCTCAAGGCTCTGAACCTAGCAGTCTGGCTTATATTTTCTTGCCCCTGCCTCCCTGCTCAGGTCCTGTGGGGCCCCATCCCAGGATCCTGGGCCTGGAGGAACTGTGAGGGGTCACCTAGTCCGTACCCTCCCCTCCAATCCCTCCAAAAAGGTGACCTTGCCCACCTTCCAGAGCTCTCCCCCACCTCCCTCAGCTCCCTCCAGTGGGAAGAGCTTCGATGGGGAGGGACTTTGTCTTGTTTTCTGTGGCGTCTGGTACAGAGTAGATGCTCAGTAAACATTTACCAAATGAAATAATGTGTTCTTCTGTAATTATAACCCTTTGATAGTTCTTTTGAGAGTGGAATTCTCTCTTCTCCTTTGTGCAAACTCCTATTCATCCCTCAAAACCCATCTCAAATACCACTTCTGTAAAGTCCTCCCCAGGCAGAATTCCCTTTTCCCTTGGCCCCTTGTTCCTTCCTGTTTCACAGCATTTATTAGATTATAGTGAAATGTTCTGTTTTATGACTGTAAGATCCTTAAGGGCGGGGATTGGTTCACTATGCATACATTAGAAATGTTTGTTGAATGAATATGTTGGATAATAACGGAGTGCTCAGTTCCTGTGGGGAATCAGAGAGGAGAAGATGTCCCCATATCCCCCAGGGAGGGAAGGAAATGAGCAGGCTTTAAGGACCTATGTCATTTGTTATTTGGCAGGCTCTGCTCTGAGCCAGATGATAAACCATATTTTATTTTATTTATTTATCTGTTTGAGACAGAGTCTCACTCTGTCACCCAGGCTGGAGTGCAGTGGTGTGATCTCGGCTCAAAGCAACCTCCACCTCCTGGGTTCAAGTGATTCTCGTGTCTCAGCCTCCTGAGTAGCTGGAATTACAAGCCCCTGCCTGGCTAACTTTTGTATTTTTAGTAGAGATGGGGTTTCATCATTTTGGCCAGGCTGGTCTTGAGCTCCTGACCTCAGGTGATCCGCCTGCCTTGGCCTCCCAAAGTGCTGCGATTACAGGTGTGAGCCACTGCGCCCGGTCAAAACCATATTTTATAATGTGTTTATACCCAGAGTTATTTCATTTGATCTACAATCAAGCATTGTGGGATAGGTATTAGGTTCCTCATCTGTAAAATAAGGGTGAGACGTGGAGAAGTAAAATGACTTGTGGGGGGATTGGGGACTGAGAGAGGGTATGGACTCAGGTCTATAGGACCCTGGTGCCCAGGAGAGAGGAGATGCTGAGTTGCTCCTCCCACCAATCTCCTCTTTCCTTGATTCCTTGGGGATCAAGAGACATTCTCTCCCCCTGGAATGGATGAGTGGATTTTCTTCTCTGGTACCATGTGGGCACCAGAGACTTTTCCTGCTCAGGAAGCTTGGCAGGGGTGTGGTGGGGGATGTTCCTCAGAGATGGTCCTTGAAATCCCCCCAAGTGTTCTTTACAGGGGTCTCCTCAGAGCCAGCCCTGGGACTAAAACTCCTAGGAAGCTCAACCTACTTCAGGCCAGTGACTTGTGAGACCAGGGAGTCAAGAGTGGGAAGAGCTATGGAAAGAAGCAGCCATTGAAGTAGGAATCACCCACTCTCTGAGGTGGTGGAGCCTGAAGAGGATACCAGGGGGTTTTTCTTTCGGTTTCAGGGGTAGGAGGGGCCAGGAGCCCCAAATCAGGGATCCACCCTGAGGCTCAATGAATAGTCAGGGTTCCTCAGGCCTGTACCCCCAAATACCCTTCCCTGTCCCTTCTTTGAGGCAGACGCAAGGCAAACAGGGTGAAATAATAATAAAAATAATGACAATAATCATATCAATACCCACCACATACTATGTGCTGGATTTTTTTTTTTTTTTTTTTTTTTTGAGATAGTCTCACTCTGTTGCCCAGGCTGGAGTACAGTGGCACAATCTCGGCTCACTGCAACCTCTGCCTCCTGGGTTCAAATGAGTCTCCCGCCTCAGCCTCCCAAGTAGTTGACACTATAGGCATGCACCACCACGTCCAGCTAATTTTTGTATGTTTCAAAGAAATGGGGTTTCATTATGTTTCCCAGGCTGATCTTGAACTCCTGACCTCAGGTGATCTGCCCACCTCGGCCTCCCAAAGTGTTGGGATTACAGGTGTGAGCCACCGCGCCTGGCCTACACGCTAGGTATTTTATGTAACTATGTTAGTCTATCAAATCCTCTGTGCAACTCTATGAAGTAGATCCTGCTACTGTCCACCCCATTTTACAGGTTAGAAGACTGAGGCTCAGGGAAGTGAAGAAGGCTCCACAGCTGAAAGTGATGGAGCTGGGATTTCTTCCACATTTGCCTGTGTTTTAAATTTTTTTTTTTTTTGAGATGGAGTCTCTGTCGCCCCGGCTGGAGTGCAGTGGTATGATTTTGGCTCACTGCAGCCTCCGCCTCCTGGGCTTAAGTGACCCTCTCACTTCGGCCTCCCAAGTAGCTGGGACTACAGGTGTATGCCACCGCACACAACTAATTTTTGTAGTTTTTTTTGTAGAGACGAGGTCTCCCTATGTTGCCAGGGCTGGTCTCAAACTCCTGGGCTCAAGTGATCCTCCCACCTTGGCCTCCCAAAGTGCTGGGATTACAGGCATGAACCACTGCACTTGGGCCTGTGTTCTATATCTAAGTGCCTATGTGATGGGGTCTTCCATCTCCCAGAGGCCATGTGGGGCTCCCTCCAGGCCCTGGGATGGGGAAGGGGTCCCACCTGGATTCTGCCACCCGCCTGTGGGTACGCCCCCATAGTCCCACCTGTAGTTGTGGAACCAGTTGATGACGGTGTTGGTCTTGAGGTTGAGCTGGAAGGAGAGGAGCTCGATGGTCTGCTGCGAGGGGTAGGGTTCCAGCTGATAGGCCTTCCGCAGTGCCTCCTTCTCCTCGGGTGCCAGCACCACCCGGGGCTTCTTGATCTGCAGGAGGCTCAGGTCCTGGGGCTGCAGGCAGGGGCTGGGGCACTCTGAGCGGGTGGCCGGGGACTCACTGTCTGAGCCGGTGCTGATGAGGCCATAGCGACGTTTCAGGTAGGCTGGGGCCAGGAAGAGAGGGAGGGCTGAGAGGTGGTGTCCCCATCCCAAAAGTTCCTGGCCAGCAGGAGTTCCATGGTGGGAGTGCATCTGTCAGGCCCACTCGGAGGCCATCATGCCCTAAGCTTAGAGGCCCGCCCCCCAGCCTTTCTCCCTCCTCACTCTCCTTCTGCATCTCCCAACCCCCAATCCCCCGCCACAAGATGCTAGCCTAACCTCGCCCGCCCGGGAGCCCTGGCATGAGCGAAGACTCAGGAGCATTCCTCACGCATAGGAAGCACTTGAAACAGGGTGCTCTACAGTATTCTCTCTGTTTTTGTAGAGACAAGGTCTCACGCTGTCACCCAGCCTGGAGTACAGCGGTGCAGTCATGGCTCACTGTAGCTTCAACCAACTAGGCTCAGGCAATCCTCCTGCCTCAGCCTCCCAAGTAGCTGGGATTACAGGTGTGAACCACCACCCCTGGCTAATTTTTAATTTTTTTTGTAGAGATGGGGTCTCTCTCTGTCACCCAGGTTGGAATGCAGTGGCACAATCACAAGTCATTGCAACCTTGAACTCCTGGGCTCAAGCAATCCTCCTGCCTCAGCCTCCTGAGTAGGTGGGACTACAGGTGCACGCCACCATGCCTGGTTCATCGTTTTGTAGAGTGTTTGAAATGCTTGTTCCCTGGTGCCGTAAAGAAATAGCACTTGAATATAAATTTAATTTACTCAGTGAGGCCATTTTTATACTTTCTGTAGAAAGGGTACGCTCGCCAGCAGTTTTGCCACGAGAGTACACCGAACAAAGGAGACAGGGTCATTTATAACCTGATGCTTCCACCCTACTGCTGTGTCCGGTTTCCACTGGCTGGAACAGGACTTCGCATGCTGTGTTTGTCCTGACTGGCTAGCAACTTAGAACTTTTTAAAAGAGGTAAAGGCAGAGGAGAACAAAGGAAGGAGGAAGTAACTTGTGGAAAAAGTTGAGAAAGGTAAAAACCCCCTTAAATAAGGAAGAGGAACAGGCTATGACCTAATGCTTGCTTGGACCACTATAAGCATGCCAGGGCAAATATTTAGGCTAAATCGTGGGAGCTAAGAACGTAAAGTACATTGATGTCTTTATCACGGCTAGCAGATATTTAAGAATGTTAGCACAGGTCTTTGAATAAATTTTGCTTCTAAGAGAAGTTACTATTTTCCTAATTAAATGGGGAGGAAAGTCTTTGAAGGGGAAACTTTATTTTTTACATAAGAATTAGAATCTCACTCTGTTGCCCAGGCTGGTCTCAAACTCTTGGCCTCAAGCAATCCTCCCACCTTGGCCTTCCAAAGTGCTGAGATTACAGGTATGAGCCGCCACATCTAGCCTACAATATCCTCTAGATTGTCAGAAGCATCCCTGAATTTCTGAACAGCCTTCAGTGGGCAATAGGTAGGGACAGTAACTTAAATGACTTACTGACTGCATGGTGCATCTTGACCCCAGATCATGAAGATGTTGGGGAGAAAAAAGCCCACTTCAGAATGAAAGAAGGTATGAGGGTCTTACTTAATCCTCACAGCAATGCTTTGTGGCTCTGAAAATGCATTTTTTTTTAGATGGAGTCTCGCTCTGTCGCCCAGGTTGGAGTGCAGTGGCACGATCCTCTTGGCTCACTGCAACCTCCACCTCCCAGGTTCAAGCGGTTCTCCTGCCTCAGCCTCCCAGGTAGCTAGGATTACAGGCATGCATCACCATGCCCAGCTAATTTTTGTATTTTTAATACAGATGGGGTTTCACCATGTTGGCCAGGCTGCTCTTGAACTTCTGGCCTCAAGTGATCCATCCACCTTGGCCTCCCAAAGTGCTAGGATTACAGGTGTGAGCCACCACATTGAGCCAGCTCTCTTGTTTTCAGAAATAGAGAGCAGCCAGCTCTCTTATTTTCAGTAACTAGCTTGAGGTTGTCACACGGCAAGGAGGTAGAAGGTCAAGTTCTCAACCACAGCATTGTCTGATGATGATGGCCCAGCCCTAGGTGCTCTCCACAGTCTGGCGTGTCCCTGGGTCATCACACGACCTGCCCTCACGACCTGGATGGCAACTTCAACTGCTCCTATCTTATCTTCCAATGGACTTTGAACCTTTGGAAATATAGAGGAATCCTTGATGCATAGCATGAGACTGGGTGCCCAGCTCAATGCCAGCTTATCTTCCATCCAAATACTAACCAGGCCTGACTCGGCTTAGCTTCTGAGATCAGCATTCCGGGTGGTATGGCTGTAGACAATGCCAGCTTATCTTATCAGGATATAATGTCAGACAATGTGAGAACTTGCAATCTCCTTGCCCAGCCCTACAAGAGACGGTTCCTGGTCCTGTCCTTTGTTATGTAGAATCTGGGTAATGGGCCAAGGGCTGATCTACAAAACAGGGGGCTGAGGCAGAGGAGGGAGGGAGGTACACAGAGTTTTGGGAAATAGACAGTTGGGGCTGGCAACAGACTTTGGTGTAGCTTCAGAGGTGTGAAAGGACAACAAGAGATGGGGTGTTAGGTTTCCTTTTGTTTCTTTCTTTTTTTTTTTGAGACAGAGTCGTTCTGTCGCCCAGGGTGGAGTGCAGTGGCGTGATCTCAGCTCACCGCAACCTCCACCTCCTAGGTTCAAGTGATTCTCCTGCCTCAGCCTCCCAAGTAGCTGCGATTACAGGTGTGCACCACCATGCCCAGCTAATTTTTTATTTTTAGTAGAGACAGGGTTTTGCCATATTGGCCAAATTGGTCTTGAACTCCCGACCTCAGGTGATCTGCCCGCCTCAGCCTCCCAAAGTGCTGAGATTACAGGCGTGAGCCACTGCACCTGGCAGAGTATTGGCTTTTCATGGGAGAGGTAGTAAATATTTACCAACTTTTTTAAAAATTGGAGATGGGGTCTTACTGCACTGCACAGGCTGGAGTGCAGTGGCTATTCACAGCTTTGATCATAGCACATTGCAGCCTTGAACGATCCTCCTGCCTTAGCCTCCCAAGTGATCCTCAAGCAATCCTCCTGCCTTAGCCTCCCAAGTGATCTGCAAGCCTTAGCCTCCCAAGTGATCCTCCTGTCTTAGCCTCCCAAGCAGCCAGGACTACCCATGCCCTGCCACTGCGACAGGCTGTAAATATCTTCACTGCTTTCAATCACATTGTTACATTGTTTTTCAAGGTTGCTATTTCATGCAGTCCCATAGTAGGCTGAGACTGGACCATGGGAGCCCTGGGTTTATGTGGGTTACAGCTAGATATGGTTCTGGGGAAAATCTGAGACCCAGTGCTGGGGCCCATCCTCTGCCCAAGTCTTACCTTTCTTCTCCAGCTTCTTCATATCCCTCAGCTTCTCCACGTTATGGGGGTCATTGAGCCACAGCTGCATGCGGACAAAAGGCTCCCGCCCCTTCAGGCTCAGCTTGTGCCAGGGTTTGGGCCGGGACAGCAGGTCAGACACGGAGCCCTGTGTCAGACCCAGGATGCTTTCCCCAAACAGCCGCTGCCCTGGGGATAGGGGAGGGGAGCAATCTGTTACCCGAGGCTGGGCAGAGAAGCCTACTCCCAGGAGAGACATGGAATAGGCCAGAGACACAGGGGAGAGCCTCGAGGCTATCTCCACTGACTCCGAAGGGAGGGCCAGAGACGGCGGAGGACCCACACCTGATGTGAAGCCGAGGGGGGTCTGTCTGTAAAAGAGATTTGGGGGCAGGACGAGGCAGCAACCAACAAAAGAGCTTTTTTTTTTTTTCTTTTTTTGAGACAGAGTTTCACTCTATTGCCCAGGCTGAGCGTAGTGGCATGATCTTGGCTCCCTGCAGCCTCTGCCTCCCAGGTTCAAGCAATTCTCCTGCCTCAGCCTCCCGAGTAGCTGGGATTACAGGCACGTACTACCACACCCAGCTAATTTTTGTATTTTTAGTAGAGATGGGGTTTCCCATGTTGGCCAGGCTGGTTTCAAACTCCTGACCTCAGGTGATCCATCTGCCTTGGCCTCCCAAAGTGCTGCAATTACAGGCGTGAGCCACTGGGCCTGGCCCAAAAGTGCTTTTTTAATTTAAGAGGTTCTTTACTCCTAGGAGATCCCTGAAATTGTCTGCCAACATCATACACACAAATTTGTATCACCGTGTTGGAGGATAATTTGACAGATTCCATCCCAGTTTTAAATGTGCACAGCTTCGGAGCAAGCAGTTCCACTGCCTGGGATAGCTGCACTTGCCCAAGTTCACACAGATGCACACAGACTTATTTTTAGAGGCAGCAGGAAAGTGGAAAAAGCCAAAATGCCCATCAGTTGGGTAAAAAACTGTGGCGCATCCATGGCCTGAAACACTCTCCAGTGGTGAAAAAGAATGCGGGTAATAGAATTATTCTAACGTGGGTGGAAGGGTGCCCACAAAATAGTGTTCATTTTTCTTTTCTTTTTTTTTTTTTTTTGAGACAGGGTCTCACTCTATCACCTAGGCTGGAGTGCAGTGGTGTGATCTCAGCTCACTATAACCTCTGCCTCCCAGGTTCAAGTGATCCTCCCACCTCAGCCTCCCAAGTAGCTGAGAGCACAGGCTTAAGCCACCACACCTGGCTAATTTTTGTATTTTTATTTTTCATTTTTTTGGGGACAAAGTTTGGCTCTATCACCCAGGCTGGACTGCAGTGGTGTGATCTTGGCTCCTTGCAACCTCTGTCTCCTGGGCTCAAGCCATCCTCCTGCCTTATCCTCCCGAGTGGCTGGGACTATAGGCACACACTACCATGCCCAGTTAATTTTTCTATTTTTTGTAGAGACGGGGTTTCGCCGTGTTGCCCAGGCTGGTCTGGAACTCATGCCCTCCAACAGTCCTCCCGCCTCGGCCTCCCAAAGTGCTGGGATTACAGGTGTGAGCCACTACACCCAGCCTAGTGTTCATTTTTCAAAAGCAAGTTGCAACGCAATATTTGTATCATTTCGTCTACACAGAAAAAAAAGGAGAGGAAATTAAGTGTATATATGTTCTTATATGTGTTCAGAAAGTGTCAAAGAGACATTAAAAAACTGAAGTGTGGGCTGGGCACGGTGGCTCACACCTGTAACCCCTGCATTTTGGGAGGATGAGGCGGGAGGATCACTTGAGGTCAAGAGTTCGTGACCAGTCTGGCCAGCATGGTGAAACTCTGTCTCTACTAAAAATAAAAAAATTAGCCAGGAGTGGTGGCTCAGGCCTGTAATCCCTGCTACTAGGGTGGCTGAGGCAGGAGAATCACTTGAACCTGGGAGGCGGAGGTTGCAGTGAGCTGAGATCGTACGACTGCACTCCAGCCTGGGGCCTGGGTGACAGGAGACTCCATCTTAAACACACACACACACACACACACACACACACACACAACACTGAAGTGTCTGAGAGGCCAATGGGGAGGGATTTATTTACTTTTTTAGTAACTTTTTTTTTCCTGTACTTTTCGGTATACCTTAAAACAATGAATATGTCTTATTTTTATAACAGGAATTGTAGTGAAAATGTTGGGGTTTGCATACATCCCTCTGGTAGGGGGGCATCACCCGCATTTAAGACTCAGAGGAATTTGTGTCCCAAAAAGGGAAAGAGCCCTAGAAGAGATTTTTCCACTGTGGCCCAAGAGGGCAAAGACTTCAGCACCGGGTGAGGACTGAGCTGGAGTTCCGCAGTGACTGGGGTTCTCCACGTCTTCCTGGAAGGAAGTTTTTAAAGCCGTGGGCTGAGAATTCCAGGTCCTCTCAGACCTGCATTCACTTTGTCCTATCCCAGACCCAGGTCAGAGCCAGATGCCTCACACAGGGTCCTGGATGCCCTGGGGCTGACTCCAGTGCCCTGGGATCTCACCGTGGGCACTTTTGTCTTTTTTTTTTTTTAATTTAACTTTTTTAGAGACAAGGTCTTCCTCTGTCGTCCAGGCTGGAGTGCAATGGCATGATCATAGCTCACTGCAGCCTTGAATTCCTGGGCTCGTGCAGGCCTCCTGCCTCAGCTTCCTGAGGACTATAGGCATTCACCACAATGTGTGAAGTTTGTTTGCATGAAGTTTGCAGCTAATTTTAGGAAGCTTTTTTATTTTTTATTTTTTTGGAGATGGAGTCTCACTGTGTTGCCCAGGCTGGAGTGCAGTGGTACAATCTCGGCTCACTGCAACCTCCACCTCCTGGATTCAAACGATTCTCCTCAGCCTCCTGAGTTGCTGGGATTCCAAGTGCATGCCACCACACCCGGCTACTTTTTGTATTTTTAGTAGAGATGGGGTTTCACCATGTTGGCCAGGCTGATCTGGAACTCCTGACCTGAGGTGATTCGCCTGCCTTGGCCTCCCAAAGTGCTGAGGTTACAGGCGTGAGGCACCGGGCCCAGCTTGTTTTTTATTTTACTGATTGACTGATTTTTTTTTTGAGATGAGGTCTCGCTCTGTCGCCTTGGCTAGAGTGCAGTGGTGTGATCTCGGCTCACTGCAACCTCTGCCTCCCAGGTTCAAGCGATTCTCCTGCCTCAGCCTCCCAAGTAGCTGGGACTACAGGCATGTGCCACCACGCCTGGTTAATTTTTTTGTATTTTTAGTAGAGACGAGGTTTCACCATGTTGGCCAGGCTGGTCTCGAACTGCTGACCTCAGATGATCCACCTGCCTGGGCCTCCCAAAATGCTGGGATTACAGGTGTGAGCCACCATGCACAGCCATTAATTTATTTTATAGACAAGGTCTTGCTCTGTTGCCCAGGCTGGCATGCAGTGGCATGATCATAGCTCACTGCAGCCTTGAACTCCTGGGCTCACGCGATTCTCCTGCCTCAGGCTCCTGAGTTGCTAGGACTACAGGCATGCACCAACACGTGTGAAGTTTGTATGCATGGAGTTTTCAGCTAATTTTAAAAAGCTTTTTTAAGATATGAGATCTTGCTATGCTGCCCAGGTTGGCCTCAAACTCCTGGCCTCAAGCGATCCTCCCTCCCTGGCCTCCCAAAGCACTGGAATTACAGGTATGAGCCACTGGGTCCCAGCTCCAGACACCTTTTCAAGGCAAGTAGGAGCCAACCCAGGTGGGAGGCAGCCTCTCCGATTCCCACCCGCTCCGTACCTAGATTGTTGTCTGTGAGGACCTCCTTCACCCTCTTGGTGATGGAGTACGTGTCCAGCTCGGGGGACATGGCCACGATCTCCTGGATGCCCCCTGGGGCCTGGCTGCCTGAGTACATCTTCCCGCTCAACGAGGAGCTGGAGCGGCCCTCTGGCTGCTGGTTCTCCTTGCTGCTCTCCAGGGACAGGCTCAACGGCTCCTGGGAGCTCTTCTCAGGCTCTGTGGGGCTGGGGGGTGGGGATGGTGAGGACCTTGGTTCTGTGGGACTGGCTGTGGGCCACAGAGAAAGAGAAGGTGGTTACTATAATCTGGCACAGACACATCCACTTTCGGGAGGCTTGCTTCTTACAGCCAAGAGTTGCCAAACACCCATTTTGCAACCACTGTAGTAATAATCGCTCAGGTAGGGACCACCCTGGATGCTAAAACTAGTGGATGAAAGTTTGATGAGGACTGGACTGGGATTTCTACAAAGTCTCCAAGTATCTCCCCACATGATGCTTAGCAATTTTTTTTTTTTTTTTAAGACGGAGTCTCGCTCTGTTGCCTAGGCTGGAGTGCAGTGGTGTGATCTCGGCTCACTGCAACCTCCGCCTCCCGGGTTCAAGCGATTCTCCTGCCTCAGCCTCCCAAGTAGCTGGGACTACAGGCATGCGCCACTACGCCCTGCTAATTTTTTGTATCTTTAGTAGAGACGGGGTTTCACCATGTTAGCCAGGATGGTCTCAATCTCCTGACCTCATGATCCACCCGCCTCAGCCTCCCAAAGTGCTGGGATTACAGACATGAGCCACCACACCTGGCCGATGCTTAGTAATTACAAAGGGAAAAGTAGCCACTTTACAGTACAGAGACCTGGTTGGACTCTCTCTGTCACCCAGGCTGGAGTGCAGTGGTGCGATCTCGGCTCACTGCAACCTCTTTCCCGGGTTCAAGCGATTCTCCTGCGTCAGCCTCCTGACTAGCTGGGATTACAGGCACTGGTGGATACCATCTTAACCAATGATCCAAGTTACTATCACCAATCACAGGGCAAGTCAGCAACATGGGCCTCCTGAGAGGATGGCCTGAGAAGGACATGGCATCACTTCTGTGATATTCCCAGCCCCAAGTACACAGCCCGAATCTGATTTCAAGGGAACATCAGGCAACCAAACTCAGACTGTCCAGGAAATAACAGCCTCTACTCTTCAGAAAGGGCAACACTGGAAAACAAAGAAAGGCAGAACTGTCGAAATCAAAACATGAAAACTAAACACAAGTGATCTTGAATCTCATCCTGCACAGGGAAAAGAAATTTACATATTTTATTTAATTAATTCATTTTGAGACAGGGTCTTGCTGTGTTGCCCAGGATGGAGTGCAGTGGCTTGGTGATAACTCACTGCAACCTCGACCTCCTGGGCTCAAGTGATCCTTCCACCTTAGCCTCCCAAGCAGCTCGGACCACAGGTGTGCATCATCATGCCTGGCTCACTTTTCTTTTTTTGAGACAAGAGTTTCACTCTGTCTCAAAAAACTTCACCCAGGCTGAAGTGCAGTGGCATGATCTTGGCTCACTGCAACCTCCACCTCACGGGTTCAAGAGATTCTTGTGCCTCAGCCTCCTAAGTCACTGGGATTATAGGTGCATGCCACCACACCCGGCTAATTTTTTGTATTCTTAGTAGAGACGGGGTTCCACCATGTTGGCCAGGCTGGTCTCAAACTCCTGACCTCAAGTGATCTACCTGCCTTAGCCTCCCAAAGTGCTGGTATTGCAGGCGTGAGCCACAGCACCTGGCCAAGATTTATATATTGTATCTAAAAATTTATATAGCTCATAAAGGATATTATTGGGACAACTGAAGAAACCTGAATATAGATGGTGGGATACATGCCAGTATTTTACCACTGTAAAATTTCTTGTTTTTGGAAAGCACTTGTTGAAGCATTTAGGGCTAAAGGGACAAGATGTCAATGAATTCCTCAAATGGCAGAGAAAGAGCACGATTATGGCAAAATTAATAACTGTTCAAACTGGGTACAGTGCAGGGAGTTTGCTGTTCTACTGTTTCAATTTTTCTGTAAATTAGAAGTTACCTCAAAACGAAAAGTTAAATAAACGGCAACAACTAAAGAAGTCAGCAATGATCCAGCAATGATCTACAAGTTCAACCACAGGAGATTGGCTGAATAAAATATGGGGGATCCCTGCAGTGGGCTCTTCCGAGGCAATGAAAGAAAATGTAATGAAAAGATGTCCATGGTGCAATGCCACATTAAAAAGCTAGATTGGGGCCGGGTGCAGTGGCTCATGCCCATAATCCCAGCAATTTGGGAGGCCAAGGTGGGAGGATCACCTAAGGTCAGGAGTTGGAGACCAGCCTGGCCAAATGGTGAAACCCCGTCTCTACTAAAAAATACAAAAATTAGCTGGGCATGGTGGCACATGCCTGTAATCCCAGCTACTCGGGAGGCTGAGGCAGCAGAATCGCTTGAACCTGGGAGGCGGAGCTCGCAGAGAGCCGAGATCACACCACTGCACTCCAGCCTGGGCAATAGAGCAAGACTCTGTTTCCAAAAAAAAAAAAAAAAAAAAAGGTAGACAGATTTTTAAACTACATTTTTCATTTTTCTTTTTTTTTGGAGATGGAGTCTCACTCACTCTGTCGCCCAGGCTGGAGTGCAGTGGCATGATCTTGGCGCACTGCAACCTAGCCTCCTGGGTTCAAGTGATTCTCCTGCCTCAGCCTCCCCCATAGCTGGGATTACAAGCGTTTGCCACCACACCCGGCTAACTTTTGTATTGTTAGTAGAGATGGGGTTTCGCCATATTGGCCAGGCTGGTCTTGAATTCCTGACCTCAAGTGATCCACCCTCCTCGGCGCCCCCAAAGTACTGGGATTACAGGCTTGAACTACCATGCCGGGCCCATTTTTCATTTTTCAAAAGACATTTTGTGTGACTATATATTGGAAAAATGATTTGAAAGATATCTGGGGCTTGTGATCTCGGGTGGATGACTTTGCCAAGCCTCCGTCCTTCCATCTGTTAAATGGGGCCATAAGACACGTAGCATTATACATACTACTTGGGGCCATCGAGAGACCTCCATGAGATAACGTGGGGCAAGGGTCCACCTCCACCTCCTCTACCACCTCCACCTCCTGGGGCATTAGAGGCACCCATGGGAGTCCCAGTGTGAGCTGAGCCTCCTGAGAAACCAGGAAAGGTGGGAGCATCCCCAGGGAGGCACCCCTAATGGGTTGGCAAGCATGGTGTGGGGTCTAGGAATCCCAGCACTGGCCACACCTAATCCCAGCACATTAGAAAAAGATGCCTCTTCCTTGAGGCATTCAACTGCCACCTGCTGGAAACTTGTTAAAATAACCATTAAAATGTATGACAGCTGGAAGAAAAGGGAGCAACGGCTTTACTTTCAGAAGAGACATCCTGAGCCCAGGATGGGTTCCTTCCTTCTCTGTCGTGGGTGAGTTGGTCACTCGGATCAGACCACTCCTATGCTCCAGAATCATCAATGGCTCCCCATTGCCCCTTGTGCAAGAAATGTCTATCACCTTGTCTTGGTGATTAAGGCTCTGAACTCCCTTGTCCCTGCCAACTGGAGCTACAGCATTTCCCTCACTCCCCTTCACAAACATCTAGGCTCCTCTCTAAGCCCCTATGTCTTTGCTCAGGCTGGTCTTGCCATCCTGAGGACTTTCCTTCTAATCTTGAACTCCTATGCATTCCTCAAGATCCAGTCCTAAATGTCCCTTCCCTGAGGTCTATTAGACTTTTGGGGTCTAATAGCACCTTGAATATATATTGTCACAGTTTGCTATAATTTCTTGCTTGGGCCAGATCTCTTCCTTACTGATGACAATGATGATGATGTTAATAAATTCCCTTTATTGAGTACTTACTACATGCCCAGTGTAGTATTATGTGCTTTATGCCTATGATCCCTCTCTCTTTATATATATATATATATATATATATATATATATATATATATATATATATATATATATATATATATGTATATGTATTTTTAAATAGAGATAGGGTTTCACTATGTGGCCCAGGCTGGTATCAAACTCCTGGGCTCAAGTCATCCTCCTGCCTCGGCCTCCCAAAGTGTTGGGATTACAGGCATGGGTCACTGTGGCTGGCCAATGCTCATGATCTCAAGTGACCCTCATGACACCTCTAAGAGGTAAGTGCTATGTCATCCCATTTTATGGGTGAGGAAACCGAGGTTCAGAGAGGTTAGACAACGTGTCCAAGATCACACAGCAATAAATGGCAAAGTCAGGACTTGAGCTGGGGTTGGGTTATGCCCAACACTGTCCTCTCATCTACCAACTGTGAGCCCCTTGAAGGCAAGGACTACAAGTTAGTCACAGGTGAGTCCCCAGAGCCTGGGGGTGGGGCAGGGGCTCTGGGCAGATGCCTATGGAGTAATTTCAGCCAGGATCCCTGAGTACTCCTGAAGAGGGCAAGGTGAAGCCCCCGAGTTCGAAGTAGCAGCATCATGGCCCTTTGTGACCGTGAGGTCTCAAGAAGTCTACTGTGCCCCCAGCCCCAAGTGAGCTGATCCTGGCCATTCAGGTAGCATCCATGTGATGCCAAGGCTGACGTGGGCATGTTCCAGGCTCACTGTTACCAACACTGATGCCATGTTGGTGTGGGAGGGCCAGTCTGGGAAAGTGAGAGTCTGTCCTAGGTGTCTGCCCACTGTCGGCAGCAGGAGAGGGGCTGGGGCCAGCTGGAAAACTGACGGTCTTTGGGCCGGGCATGGTGGCTCACGCCTGTAATCCCTGCACTTTGGAAGGCCAACGCGGGTGGATCACCTGAGGTCAGGGGTTCGAGACCAGCCTGGCCAACATGGTGAAACCCCATCTCTACTAAAAATACAAAAAATTAGCCAGGTGTGTTTGCACACACCTGTAGCCCCAGCTACTCTGGAGGCTGAGGCAGGAGAATTGGTTGAACCTGGGAGGCAGAGGTCGCAGTGAGCCGGGATTGCGCCACTGCACTCCAGCCTAGGTGAAAGAACAAGACTCCACCTCGAAAACAAACAAACAAACAAAAAACACAAAAAACTGAGGGTCTTTGAAGGCATCTCCCTCTTGGAAAACTATCTGCACCCATGTCCCAACCTAGAGGGCCAAGAAGCGAAGCGAACAGGATGACATGGAGATGATTGGCAGGAAAGAACACAGCCACCCCCCAATCCCACTCCCCCAGGGAGAACCCCGCCTTTCTGACTCCTCTGACTGAGAATCGCTTCTGACGAAGTGATGGAAAGATTCAGAAATTATCTCTATCAGGAAGACTGTGCTAATTACAGGGCTGGGGGAGTCACATGTGAACAACTGGGTTATTTGGAGAGGGAGGCGACGACAGGGAGAGGCAGGGTCTTCTTGCCTTGCTGGGCTTGTGGGTGGGGTGCCAGACAGGGCTGTGGGCAGCTGGGGACAGGAGAGAGAGCAGAGTGACCAACCCATCCCAGTCTGCCCGCGACTTTCCTTATTTTACTACAGAAAGTTCCAGATCCTGGGAAATCTCTCTCTCCTGGAGAGATAAGGATGGTGCAAGAGAGATGAAAAGAGAGCACTGGAGGGACAGGGAGGGTCAGGGAGGAAGAGACAGAGCAAACAGAGGGGGAGAGAGATGGTGAGAGAGGCAGGGGGAGAGAGAGAGTGGGGTGGGGGGAGGAGAGGGAGAGGGAGAGAGGGAGAGAGGGGGAGAGAGAGAGAGAGAGAGAGAGAGAGAGAGAGATAGGTGAATCAAAAAAATGCAGAGTGAGAAAAACAGAAAGAAGACAATGGAGGTGACTGGGTGCAGTAGCTCATGCCTGTAATCCCAGCACTTTGGGAGGCCAAGGTGGGTGGATCACCTGAGGTCAGGAGTTCAAGACCAGCCTGGCCAACATGGCAAAACCTGTCTCTTCTAAAAATACAAAAAATTAGTTGGGTGCCTGTAATCCCAGCTACTTCGGAGACTGAGGCAGGAGAATTGCTTGAACCCAGGAGCCGGAGGTTACAGTGAGCCGAGATCACACCATTGCACTCCAGCCTGGGCGACAGAGTGAGACTCTGTCACACACACACACACACACACACACACACACACACACACAAAAGAAATTGGAGGAGAGAGACAGAGATCAGGAGAGAGACAGAGGGAAGACAGGGACTGTGTATGGGGACAGGACAGGGCTTCCTTGACTGCTTGAGAATTCTGAGAAACCTCGGATGGAAGGGTCTGGAATACTGATGCTGCCACGGTAGGTAGCGCCGATTATACCCGGGGCTGCGCCTGGCAGTGGACGTGGGGATAAGGGCGTGCTTTATAACCCTCCCGTGGCATCTGGCTCAACTTCAGTAACAGGTATGGTCAGGGTTCCAGTGCCGGTCCCTGCCCGCCCCAGTGGCCAGGGCATACACAAGCGGGGCTTGGACAGGTCCTGACACCCAGCCCCACAGCCAGACTCTGTGGGACTTTGTGGGCAATGGATACACCCTTTTGCTTCCAGGCCCAGTGGGTTATGAACAAGCAGAGGCTGTGAGGGTGGCTCTGCCATCACCACTCTCTCCCTAGGGCCAGCAGCTACAGTAGCCACCTCCAGGCCTGATTCCCTCATCATTATTATTATTGTTTTTGAGACAGGGTCTCGCTCTATTGTCCAGACTGGAAGGCACTCACTCCAGTTCACTGCAGCCTTGACCTCCTAGGCTCAAGCATCCTCATACCTCAGCCTCCTGAGTAGCTGGGACTACAGGCACCTGCCACCATGCCCAGCTGATTTTTGTATTTTTGTAATTTTGTACAGAAGGGGTTTTGCCATGTTGGT
Source organism: Homo sapiens (assembly GCF_000001405.40). Taxonomy (NCBI): domain Eukaryota; kingdom Metazoa; phylum Chordata; class Mammalia; order Primates; family Hominidae; genus Homo; species Homo sapiens. The sequence goes on along the minus strand of NC_000012.12, from coordinate 111,327,866 downwards.
CAGGCTGGTCTCAAACTCCTGACCTCAAGTGATCCGCCTGCTTTAGCCTCCCAAAGTCCTGGGACTACAGGTGTGACGCACTGTGCCTAGCCTTGGCTTCCTATTCTGGGAGAGCAGGGGACCCCGCCACCTCTACTCACATCCCTTCCCAGGCCGTGCATGGTCCCACCTCCTAGCCGCTGCCTGTGCCATTCCTTCCACAAGGAGCACCATTCTCCATCTTCTCTGCTTACCTCTATCCTACCTGTGGTCAAATCCTTCCATGACAATAAAATCTACAACCAAAACAATCAGACATTGGGGAAATGCAAATAAAAACTACAGTGAAATACCACTTACACACCCACCAGGATGGCTAGCGTCAACAAATGGGAGATAACCCATGTTGGTAAGGACCTGGAGAAACAGAAACCCTTTGAACTTCCTCAGTAAGTTAAACACAAGAGTTACCATATGATCTAGCCAACTGTACTCCTAGATATATGTTCGAAGAACTGAAAATGGGGGTTCAAACACAAATATGTACACAAATTTTCATAGGCGCATTATTCAAAATAGTCAAAATGGGGTCTATCCATACAATGGAATATCATTTAGCCATAAAAAAGGAAGGAAATTCTGATGCATACTACAGCCTGTATGAGCCTTGAAAACACGTTAACTGAAAGAAGCCAGCCACAGAAGGCCAAGTAGTACAGGATTCCATCTATATGAAACATTCAGAAGAGGCAAATCCAGACAGAAAGAAAGCGGAATTCCAGGAGCTGGGGGGAAGGAGGATGGGCAATGACTGCTGGATGGGTATGGGGTTCCTTTTTGGGGCGGTGGGAATATTCTGGAATTAGACAGAGGTGATGGTCACACGCATTGTGCATGTATTAGATCCACTGAATTGTATACTTCAAAAATGGTTTAAAAGGTACATTTTACGTTATGTGATTTTTGTTTGTTTGTTTCTTTGTTTGAGACAGAGTCTCACTCTGTCACCCAGGCTGCAGTGCAGTGGTGCCATCCGGCTCACTGCAACCTCTGCTTCCTGGGTTCAAGCGATCCTCTCGCCTTAGCCTCCCGAGTAGCTGGGATTACAGATGCGTGCTACCACACCCGGCTAATTTTTGTACTTTTAGGAGAGACGGGATTTCTCCATGTTGGCCAGGCTGGTCTCAAATTCCTGGGCTCAAGTGATCGGCCCGCCTCGGCCTCCCAAAGTGCTGGGATTACAGGTGTGAGCCACGGTGCCCAGCTGTTATGTGAATTTTACTACAGTAAAAAAGTTAGTTAAAACCTAACACCACAGACCAGGCGCAGTGGCTCACCACTCCAGCCTGGGTGACAGAGTGAGACTATGTCTCAAAAAACCAAAAACCAACCCCCTCCATCACCACAACACTATAAAACAAAACCAACCCCTACCCCACCACAAGACTATAAACAAAACCCACCCCTCCCCCAACACAACACTATAAACAAAACCCACCCCTCCCCCACAACACTATAAACAAAACCCACCCCTCCCCCACCACAACACTATAAACAAAACCCACCCCTCCCCCACCACAACACTATAAACAAAACCAACCCCTCCCCCAACACAACACTATAAACAAAACCCACCCCTCCCCCACCACAACACTATAAACAAAACCCACCCCTCCCCCACCACAACACTATAAACAAACCCACCCCTCCCCCACCACAACACTATAAACAAAACCAACCCCTCCCCATCACAACACTATAAACAAACCCACCCCTCCCCCACCCCAACACTATAAACAAAACCCACCCCTCCCCCACCCCAACACTATAAACAAAACCCACCCCTCCCCCACCACAACACTATAAACAAAACCCACCCCTCCCCCACCCCAACACTATAAACAAAACCCACCCCTCCCCCACCACAACACTATAAACAAAACCCACCCCTCCCCCAACACACTATAAACAAAACCCACCCCTCCCCCAACACACTATAAACAAAACCCACCCCTCCCCCAACACAACACTATAAACAAAACCCACCCCTCCCCCAACACAACACTATAAACAAAACCCACCCCTCCCCCACCACACTATAAACAAAACCCACCCCTCCCCCACCACAACACTATAAACAAAACCCACCCCTCCCCCAACACAACACTATAAACAAACCCACCCCTCCCCCACCACAACACTATAAACAAAACCCACCCCTCCCCCACCACAACACTATAAACAAAACCCACCCCTCCCCACCACAACACTATAAACAAAAAAGGATGGAAGTCTTTTCCCAGGTAGGCTCTGGGGTAGACACATTTCGGGACCCTAGGGGGCAGGAAGCCTGATGGCCCACAGCCCAGGGTGCTCATCCTAGGTCTGCCACTCACTGGATGATGGCCTTGGGCAAGTCACTGCACTACCATGCCCCTGGATTTCCTCATCTGTGAAATGGAAATGATAAACAGTCCCTTTGGTGGAGACTGACATGAAGATTACAGGACAAAGCACTTTGACCACTTGGTGCTATGTGTGGTAAGTGGCAGCGGTCATTAGCATTAGCATGGCTGCTTTTTTTTTTTTCTTTTGAGACGGAGTCTCGCTCTGTCGCCCAGGCTGGAGTGCAGTGACAGGATCTCGGCTCATTGCAAGCTCCGCCTCCCGGATTCACACCATTCTCCTGCCTCAGCCTCCTGAGTAGCTGGGACTACAGGCGCCTGCCACCACGCCCGGATAATTTTTTTTTTTTTTTTGTAATTTTAGTAGAGACGGGTTTCACCGAGTTAGCCAGGATGGTCTCAATCTCCTGACCTTGTGATCCGCCTGCCTCAGCCTCCCAAAGTGCTGGGATTACAGGCATGAGGCACCCCACCCGGCCAGCATGGCTGCTTTTAATCCTCGTTACAGCCTTATGGAGAGGAGTTTTTAAATCATTGTATTTATAAACTATTAAAAACATATAGAAATATACAGACAACAATATGTAAGTCCTCCCCTCCCTTCCACCCATCACCGTAATCGATGCTGACACTTCACCCCCGTCACTTCCAATCTTCCTTCTTGTTTTAAAGAAACAGGAAAGGGCCAGGTGCTGTGGCTCACGCCTGTAATCCCAGCACCTTGGGAGGCCAAGGTGGGTGGATCACCTGAGGTCAGGAGTTCAAGACCAGCCTGACCAACATGGAGAAACCCCGTCTCTACTAACAATACAAAATTAGCTGGGCATGGTGGCGCACGCCTGTAACCCCAGCTACTCGGGAGGCTGAGGCAGGAGAATCGCTTGAACCCGGGAGGCAGAGGTTGCAGTGAGCCGAGATCATGCCATTGCACTCCAGCCTGGGCAACAGAGCAAGACTCTGTCTCAAAACAAAAACAAAAACAAAACAAAACAAAAAAAAGAATAGGAAAGGAGCAGAGCAAAGTCACCACGCCCTGCCTCTTCCTGGCCCCCTCCCTGCCCAGTGCAACCTCCCTCCCCAGCTGGGGGGCTGCCTCCTTATGCATTTCTTTCTTTCTTTTTTTTTTTTTTTTGAGACAGAGTCTCACACTGTTGCCCAGGCTGGAGCGCAATGGTGAGGATCTCAGTTCAACTGCAACCTCTGCCTCCCAGGTCATGTGATTCTCCCGCTTCAGTCTCCTAAGCAGCTAAGATTACATGTGCACGCCACCATTTCCAGCTAATTTTTTGTATTTTTAGTAGAGACGGGGTTTCACCATGTTGGCCAGACTGGTCTCGAACTCCTGACTTTGTGATCCGCCCGCCTTGGCCTCCCAAAGTGCTGGGATTACAGGTGTGAGCCATCACACCCGGCCTATACATTTCATTTTATTAATTCTTTTAGAGATGGTCTCACTTGCCCAGTGCAGTGTGAGATGCACTGCAGTGGCATGATCATAGCTCACTGCAGCCTCGAACTTCTGGGCTTAAGCGATCCTCCTGCCTCACCCTTACAGGCACATGCTACCATACCCGGCTAATTTTTTATTTGTAGAGATGAGGTTTCGCCATGTTGCCAAGGCTGATTTCAAACTCCAGGCTTCAAGAGATCCTCCTGCCTTCACCTCCCAAAGTATTGGGATTACAGGCGTGAGCCACTGTGCTCGGCCTCCTTTTTTCTGAGACAAGGTCTTACTCTGTCACCCAAGCCGGAGTGCAGTGGGATGATCACAGCTCAAGTGATCCTCCTGCCTCAGCCTCCCGAGTAGCTGGGACCACAGGTACGTACCATTCCAACTGATTATTTTTATATTTTGTAGAGACACGGTCTCCCTCTATTGCCCAGGCTGATCTTGAACTCCTGGCTTCAAGAGATCCTCCAGCCTCAGCCTCCCAAAGTGCTGGGATTACAGGCGTGAGCCCCCATGCCTGTCCTCAGCCTCTTTTTAAATATTAATGCATAAGTCTGCAGCCATACAGCTACACCAGTGTGCAGTCTCATCCTGTAGGTGTTAGCTTCTATAGTAAGCACTGTCACTGGGATGGAGGCTTTTGTCACTTGACATTATGTTTCCAGTCCATATTCCTGTTGATATGGGCCTGCTGACCTGGCTCGTTTCTGTGAACCTGAGATATGGTTTTGTCCTATTGACAAGACTGAGCTCAGATCCTTGGACTCAGGGTCTGGCCTCCCCTGGTCTCTGCCCTTCTCAGTGGGCAGGTCTGATGTCCTCTCCTTGCAGTCACGTGCCCTCATTCCAGTGCAGGGCCCGGGTAGGTGCCTCACCAGGGCCCTGGCAGACTTATCCGCTGGTCCCCACAGTGGCAGGGAGCTGGGGCTCCCCCTAGCACTTCCGGACTCTGGGACTTTGGGCATCCCTCTGAGCCTCCGTTTCCTCACCCGGGCAAAGCTGACACTCCAGCCTGCTCGTGCTATCATGGGCAGCTGGGTGGCACTGCCCAAGGCCCTGTGCTAAGAAGGAGTCTGAGGCTGCACGCTAGGTCTTCAGGAAACAGAGCTGAGATCGATGAGCAATTCCAGATGTGGGACTCCACATGCAAAACACATTCTCCACCTGCTCTGAGCACCATGGAGCCACTTGGAGGCTTAAAGCCAGGACCCAGTGCATCAGGCGTGCAGCTTCTAGAAGCCTCCCTCTGGTTGGAGGAAGGAAGAAAGGGGAGCAGAGAAACCCCAGGACCCCCCGCCATGTTCCAGTGCAGCCATGACAGTGACTGGGATGAAAGCCAGGGCAGCAGGGAGGGAGAGATAGGTAGACTCGGGCAGTAAAGCCAGGCGGACATGCCACTGCGCAGGTGGGAAGTTTGCCAGCACCCCCTGAGATGCTCCTGCCCGCACTCACCCTGGGAGGCACCAGGCTGCTGGCCCACTGCCTGGCCGAGCTGGTCAGAGAGCCACAGCTGCATGCGGATGAAGGGCTCCCGCCCCTTCTGCGTCAGCTTGCTCCATGGCTTCGGCCGGGACAGCATGTCGCTCACGCTGCCCTGTGACAGGCCCAGCACCTGCGAGGGGCGGGCCAGGGGGGTAGGTCAGCAGGCCCCTGGGACATGGGCCTGGCCCTCACTCTCCTCCCCAACCTTTTTTTTTTTTTTTTTTTTTTTGAGGCAGAGTCTCGCTTTGTCTGTCGCCCAGGATGGAGTGCAGTGGCACCATCTCAGCTCACTGCAAACTCCGCCTCCCAGGTTCAAATGATTCTCCTGCCTCAGCCTCCTTAGTAGTTGGGACTTGTACCAGGCTGGTGCACGTCTGGCTAATTTTTGTATTTTTAGTAGAGATGGGGTTTTGCCACATTGGCCAGGCTGGTTTCGAACTCCTGACCTCAAGTGATCCACCCAACTCAGCCTCCCACAGTGTTGGGATTATAGGTGTGAGCCACCATGCCCAGCCTCCCATCCCCTCCCCTCCCCTCTGTTGGAGTCCAGGCGGCCTTCATTTGTTCCTCATAGGTGCCTGCCATGTGCTGTTGCTGTGCCCTTCCCCTCCAGTACCCTCCCTAATGTCCCTACATGTAAAAATCCTTCAGTGCCCCCCTCCTCCAGGAAGCCTTCCCTGACCTCCCACTTAAGTCATTTCTCCCTCCTCCGAGCTTGCCTGGCCCTTTGCCTATTCCCTTGCTAAAGGTAGAGGTGACACTTAAAACTGGCATTGCAGGGGCACCAACCAATCAGGAAACACTGAGGTCCCCTGGCTAGGGTGAGCTTTATTTAACCCTTTCTTTTTAAATTTTTATTTATTTTTGGGGGGATGAGGTCTTGCTCTGTTGCCCAGGCTGGAGTGCACTGGTGTGATCATGGCTCACTGTAGCCTCGACCACCTGGGTTCAAGCAATTCTCCCACCTCAGCCTCCTGAGTAGCTGTGCACCACCACACTTGGCTAATTTTTTTTATTTTGTAGAGATGGGGGTCTTGCTACATTGCCCAGGCTGATCCCAAACACTTTTTTTTTTTTCTTTTGAGATGGAGTATCGTTCTGTCACCCAGGCTGGAGCACAGTAGCGAGATCTTGGCTCGCTGCAACCCCTGCCTCCCAGGTTCAAGTGATGCTCCTGCCTCAGTCTCCTAAGTAGCCATGACTATACCGGCACAGGACACCAAGCCCAGCTAATTTTTATATTTTTAGTAGAGATGGGGTTTCACCATGTTGGCCAGGATGGTCTTGATCTCTTGATCTCATGATCTGCCCGCCTCAGCCTCCCAAAGTGCTGGGATTACAGGTGTGAGCCACCGTGCCCAGCTTAATTTTTGTATTTTTTAGTAGAGACGGGGTTTCACCACGTTGGCCAGGCTGGTCTCAAACTTCTGGGCTCAAGAGATCTTCCCACCTCCGTCTCCCAAAGTGCTGGGATTACAGGCGTGAGCCACCAAGTCCTGCCACTTAACCCTTTAGTGGCTGGACCTCAGGCGATCTGGAGGGGCCTGGAGGAGGGGAGTTAAGTGGCTGTTTGCTGGCCAGGATGGAAGCATTTCCTGGTTTTAACAACCACGGAGCAGAACAGTGGCCCTCCTTCCTGCGGGACCCAGGGACAGCAGGACTCAGGAATGAAGGGCCTGGGCCCCTGGGGTCCCGCCAGCCTGCTTGGGTGGGCATCCTACTTCTCCGACATCTTCTCCCAGAGCCCAGACACCGGGGGCCCGCCCTGCACTCACCTTCTCCCCGAAGATCCTCTGGCAGATGCCGTTCTTGGCCAGCTTCTCCTTGACCTGGCGGGTGAGCTCCAGCGTGTCTACCTCACGGTACATGTACAGCTCGTACTGCTCGGGGGTCAGCGGCGGCACGGTGGGCTTCAGGGTGCGCGGCACGTAGGCCGGGTAGTAGGGCAGCCGCGCGCCCGCCTCGGCCGTCGCGCCCTCAGCCTTGAGCTCGCCCGTCCTGGGGGGTTCGTCCTCCGCCCCTGCCGCCGCCTCGTCCTCGGGGGGCACAGGGGCCTCGTCCCCGCGGGGCCAGGCGCGGCCGTTGGGCTGGCCAGAGTAGCCAGAGGAGGAGGAGGAGGACAGCGAGGGCGACACGGAGGCGTAGGGGCGGCTGAGCAGGCCGCGGTCGGAGGCCCAGTGGTGGTCGAAGTAGCCGGCGTCGCCGATCTCGGACTTGACCTTGCGGATGATGCTCTGCACGAAGGCGGCGGGGGACAGGACCGGGAGCGGCGCCTGCGCGGGGCCCCCGCTGCCCTCCTCCTGCTTCACCAAGGCCGGGGCCCCGTTCTGGCTCGCGGTGGCCAGTGATGGCCGCTCCGGGGGCGAGGGGGGCACCGAGCGGCCCCTGGGCGCCACCTCCATCTCCAGCAGCGCCTGCTGTTGCGCCTGCATCTCACGGCGTGCCTGCTCCAGGATGCTCTTGATGGCGTCCTCCGAGGTGCTGGCGGGGGTCGTGCCGTTGGCGATGCTCAGCGGGGCCACCGAGGTCTTGGGCTCGCCTGCGGGGAGGGGGACAGGACGGCCCGAGGCCCAGGGTCAGGGCTCGGCATGCAGGGGACGATGTTCACAGCATCCCTGTTGATGCCAGCACGGTGTCCAGGCAACCTCTGTGTCCAGCAACTGGGGATTGGCTAACTAAATTATGATCCCTCCCTGTGGCAGAATATTAGGCAGCCACCCAAAATTCGGTTGACAGTGAGGTTTTGGCATATGCAGAGAACATGCTCATGCGGATAATGCAATGCAAACACAGACCTGACTTTTGTTTTGTTTTGTTTTGAGATGGAGTCTCACTCTGGTGCTCAGGATGGAGTGCAATGGCACGATCTCAGCTCACTGCAACCTCTGCCTCCCCACTTCCAGCAATTCTCCTACCTCAGCCTCCTGAGTAGCTGGGATTACAGGTGTGCACCACCATGCCCAGCTATTTAGCTTTAGTAGAGACAGGGTTTTGCCATGTTGGCCAGGCTGGTCTTGAACTCCTGAGCTCAAGTGATCTACACCTCAGCCTCCCAAAGTGCTGAGATGACAGGCATGAACCACAGTGCCCGGCCTGACCTGACTTTTACATAGGCAATGATCCAACCATGTAAATGTTCAAAGACAAAGAAAACACGAAGGCACAGAAAAGTGGCTTGTTCACTTGTTCTGTTTTAAAAAAAAAATTCTTTAAAAATATTTCTTTCCTTCCTCATTTCCCTTCCCTTTCTTCCTTCCTTTCTTTCATAGAGATGGGGTCTTGCCATGTTGCCCAGGCTGGTTTCAAACTCCTGGCTTCAAGTGATTCTCCTGCCTGGGCCTCCCAAAGTGCTGGGACTACAAGCATGTGCCACCATGCTCAGCTAATTTTTGTATTTTTTGTAGAGACGGGGTTTTGCCATATTGCCCAGGGTGGTCTCAAACTCCTGGGCTCAAGTGATCTGCCCTCCTCAGCCTCCCAAAGTGTAGAGATTACAGGCTCGAGCCACTGTGCCCAGCCCTTCACTTGTTCTAATAGCAATGAATCCAAATGCCCATGCAGAGAATGGATCAAAAACAGTGGGATGGGCCAGGCACAGTGACTCACACCTGTCATCCCAGCACTTTGGGAGGCTGAGGCAGTCAAATTGTCTGAGTTTAGGAGTTCGAGACCAGCCTGGGCAACATGGCAAAACTCAGTCTCTGCAAAAAATACAAAAATTAGCCAGGCGTGGTGGCTCACACCTGTACCTCAGGGTCTGAGTTGGGAGCATTGCTTGAGCCTGGGAATTCGAGGCTGCAGTGAACCAAGATTGCACTCCGACCTGGGTGACAGAATGAGACATCCATCTCTAGAAAAAAAAATAGTGGGATGATCACACAATGGAACACTATGCAGCAGTGAAAAAGGAAGTCCTTATGCAAAATCAGATATGAATCTTTTTTTTTTTTTAAAAAAAGAGATGTGGTCTTGCTATGCTTCCCAGGCTGGAGTGCAGTGGCTCGATCTCAGGTGCGATCATAGCTCTCTGTGGTCTCAAACTCCTGGGCTCAAGTGGTTCTCCTGCCTCAGCCTCCCGAGTAGCTAGGACTACAGGTATGAGCTACCGTGCCCTTTGTGTGAATCCTAATAACATAATATTGAGTGAAAAAAGCAGGTGAAGGCTGGGAGCAGTGGCTTATGCTTATAATCCCAGCACTTTGGGAGGGTGAGGCAGGAGGATTACTGGAGCCCAGGAGCTCAAGACCAGCCTAGGCTACAAAATGAGACCCTGACTCTACAAAAAAGTGAAAAAAAAAAAAAAAAGAAAAAAGAAAAAAAAATTAGCCAGGCATGGTGGTGTATGCCTACGGTCCCAGCTGAGGCAGGAGGATCACTTGATCCTGGGAGGTCGAGGTGGCAGTGAGCCATGTTTGCACCACTGCACTCCAGCCTGGGCAACAGAGTGAGAGCCTATCTCAAAAAACAACAACAATAACAACAACAACAACAACAAAAACAAGTCCAATAAGATGGCACTCAGTATCACGTTTTCTTTTTTCTTTTTTCTTTTTGACTGAGTCTTGTTCTGTTGCCCAGGCTGGAGTGCAGTGGCGTGATCTCAGCTCACCTCAACTTCTGCCTCCCAGGTTCAGGCAATTCTCTTGCCTCAGCCTCCCGAGTAGCTGGGATTACAGGCACTCGCCACCAGGCCTGGCTAATTTTTTTTTGTATTTTTAGTAGAGATCGGGTTTCACCATGTTAGCCAGGCTGGTCTCAAACTCCTGAGCTCAAATGATCTGCCCACCTTGGCCTCCTAAAGTGCTAGGATTACAGGTGTGAGCCACCGCGCCCGGTCGGTATCACATGTTTTCTATCAAGTTCCATAACAAATAACATAAACACTATATGATTTAGTGAAAAACCTTTTCTACAAATGGCAAACACAAAGGAACAACAGGACAAAATTTTAGGATGAAAGACATCTCTGGGAGAGGAAGGCAGGGGTGGGATGGGGAGGAAAATGCCAGATCTCAGTTATTGGGAATTTTCTAAATCTTGGGTTGGGCAATATGTTCCCAGAGGTTCATTCTGTCATTTACATGAGTGAACGAATGAATGAATGCATGAATATACACACACATATATACACATATATATATATGCACGTGTGTACACACATACACACAGACACCTGAGAGAAGGCCATGCAGGCGGCAGCCCTGAGAGTGTGTCATGAACCAAGGATAATAGATGGATCTGTGCCCTGAGGAATGACAATTAACCAGTAAATGAAAAGGTGCTTCCCTCTGCCCTCAGAGAAGCGTTCCCGACACCAGAGTCTCTCTAGCTCTGCAGAAAGCCAGATCAATGTAACCCCTTCTTCATTATCTCTGTGTAGCTTTCATCCTAGTGGGTCCTCTTAGACCCATTAAAAATAATTTTCATTGCTTTTCCAATTAAAAAGTAATATAGCAATGGAACATTATTTTGTCATAAAAAGGAATGAAGCACTAACAGGGGCTACAACAGGAATAAGCCTTACAAACATGGGGCTGAGTGAAAGAGGCCAGACGCAAGGTAGCACATATGATATGATTCCATTTACACAAAATGTGCAGAACAGGTCAATCCACAGAAACAGGATGCAGATCAGTGGTTTCCAGGGGCTGGGGGGAGAGTGGAAAGGAGAAGCACTGCTTAATGGGTATAGGGTTTCCTTCTGGGGTGATGAACATGTGTGAACTGGAGAGAGATGATGGTTGCATAACACTGACTATACTAACTACTACTGAATTGTACACTTTAAAATGGTTAATTTTGGCCGGGCGTGGTGGTTCACGTCTGTAATCCCAGCACTTTGGGAGACTGAGGCAGGCCGATCACTTGACCTCAGGAATTTGAAACCAGTCTGGCCAACGTGGTGAAACCCCGTCTCTACTAAAAATACAAAAATTAGCTGGGCGTGGTGGCACGCACCTGTAATCCCAGCTACTCAGGAGGCTGAGGCAGGAGAATTGCTTGAACCTGGGAAGTGGAGGTTGCAGTGAGCCGAGATCACACCACTGCACTCCAGCCTGGGCGACAGAGCTAAAGACTCTGTCAAAAAAAAAAAAAAAAAAGAAGTGCCGGGCGCGGTGGCTCAAGCGTGTAATCCCAGCATTTTGGGAGGTTGAGGCAGGCGGATCATCTGAGGTCAGGAGATTGAGACCAGCCTGACCAACACGGAGAAACCCCGTCTCTACTAAAAATTAAAAAAAAAAAAATTAACCGGGCGTGGTGGCACATGCCTGTAATCCCAGCTACTCGGGAGGCTGAGGCGGAATCACTTGAACCCAGGAGGCGGAGGTTGTGGTGAGCCGAGATTGCGCCACTGCACTCCAGTCTGGGCAACAAGAGCACAACTCTGTCTCAAAAAAAAAAAAAAAAGCTTAATTTTATGTTATGAGAATTTTACCTCGATTAAAAAAAACTCATACTTGCCTACTATGGGAGCACAGAGGAGCATGCAAAAAAAAGCACAAAAAGTCAAGATCAAAATGAAAGTCACCCTTACTGTCTCTTAGGAGCAACCACGTGAAATATTCTCATGTATTCCCTTCCAGTCTGTTTTCTAAACTACATGCATCGCATGATCATACTCGATATGTGGAAGTGTAGTCTGGTTTGTCCCCATTTAGTATCAACATGAGTGTTTTTTTTCTTTTTTTCTTTTTTGGAGACAGGGTCTTGGTATGTTGCCCAGGCTAGTCTCAAACTCCTGGGTTTAAGCGATCTTCCTGCCTCAGCCTCTCAAGTAGTTGGGACTACATGCATTTGCCACTATGCCCAGCTAAATTTTTTCTTTTTTTTTGAGACCGAGTCTTGCTCTGTTGCCCAGGCTGGAGTGCAATGGCGCGATCTCGGCTCACTGCAACCTCTGCTTTCCAGGTTCAAGTGGTTCTCCTGCCTCAGCCTCCTGAGTAGCTGGGATTACAGGTTCCTACTACCATGCCTGGCTAATTTTTGTATTTTTAGTAGAGATGGGGTTTTGCCATGTGGTCCAGGCTGGTCTCCAACTCCTGACCTCAAGTGATCCATCTGTCTTGGCCTTCCAAAGTGTTGGGATTATACAGGCGTGAGCCACTGTGCCCGGCCCCATTTTTTCTTATCATTAAAAGTTCTACCTTTAAGGGCTGCACATGCTGCTAAAGGGATATTATCTGCTTTACTTACCAGATCCCCCACTGCTGGACACTTAGGTTGTTTTGTTTCCAGTTTGTCACTCTTATGAACAATGATGGAACAGCTTATATATAAACCCCTGTCCCCATTCTGGACATTTCCTTCCAATCCCAGAAGTAGAACTCGTGATTGAGCAGTTAGTCACATTCATTTCCTCCCTGGCAGCGGCTCATGTGCCCACTGCTTAGCATTCATTTTTTTTGCCAGGGGTATGGGGCAATAACCTTTGTATTTTTCCTCTTGCTGAACTCCTAGACCCTGAATATAAGACTACTGGCTGGCCCATGGAGAGCAAACGTTTTCCTCTGCTGCGATGCTGTCTTTGACATTGCCCTGGTGCCTGCTTCCGACCCCCAGGAGAAAGTGCTGTATAAAGAGGTGAGAGACCTGGGGTTTCCCTCTGTCTCTGTGTAACTGAACTCATGTCTTCCCTCCCTAGCCTCAGTTGTCCTGTCGGTTTAGTGGGAGACTTTGGCTAGTTATTTCTTTTTCTATTATTTTTTTTTGAGACAGCATCTCACTCTCACCCAGGCTGGAGTGTAGTGATGAGATCTCGGCTCACTACAACCTCTGCCTCCTGGGCTCAGGTGATCCTCCTGCCTCAGCCTCTTGAGTAGCTGGGACCACAGGTGTGTGCCACCACACCTAGCTAATTTTTGTATTTTTAGAGGAGATGGGGTTTTTTTTTTTTTTTTTTTTTTTTTTTTTAGACTGAGTTTTGCTCTTGTTGCGCAGGCTGGAGTGTAGTGGTGTGATCTCCGCTTACTGCAACCTTTGCCTCCCAGGTTCAAGCAATTCTCCTGCCTCAGCCTCCAAATAGCTGGGATTACAGGCACCTACCACCATGCCCAGCCAATTTTTGTATTTTTAGCAGAGACGGGGTTTCACCATGTTGTCCAGGCTAGTCTCAAACTCCTGACCTCAGGTGATCTGCCCGCCTTGGCCTCGGCCTCCCAGAGGCCCAGATGAGAAGATGGTCTGGGCACGGTGGCTCACGCCTGTAATCCCAGCACTTTGGGAGCCGAGGCAGGTGGATCACGAGGTCAGGAGTTAGCTGCCACACCCAGCCCTGGCTAGTTATTTCTCATGGTTCTTTTCATCTCCATATCATGTCTCACCCATATCTGAAATCTGTGTCTAGACCACAGTAGGTGCTTAATAAATGTTTACTGCATAATTACATCCTTCTCTGTCTTGCATCTCTCTTGCTACTGGAACTGACCAAGAGGGAAATTAGGCTCAGGGGATTTTACAGGTGGGGCAGGGTAGCCGGGTAATCCCTTATCCCCTCACCCCTCCCGGGGACCAGGCAGGAGGGAGGGCCATTGATTGGGAAACATCTCGGCTCCTGGCGGCAACTGGAGGGATTCAGGACACCTGCTCGGAGCAGCCACCAGGGGGCAGCAGACACTGCAAAAATGGAAGAGGGCTTTGAAACCGGAGTCCAGGGTCTCAGTCAGTCTACGCTGTGCTGGGTGTGAGGATGGAACTCGGTCCCTGGCTGCAAGAAGCCCCCACAGCAGACGGAGGGACAGCCACACCAGCAGAGTCGTTTGTGACAGCGCAGAACTGCAACAGGGAGGTAATAATGATAATATTTGCTGTAATGATGGCTGATCTTTCAGGATTACACTGACCTCATTTGATCCTCACACAACCCTAAGAAAGGAAAACTAATACAGTCCCCATTTTTTTTTTTCTTTTTGAGATGGAGTTTTGCTTTTGTCACCCAGGCTGGAGTGCAGTGGTGTGATCTCGGCTCACTGTAAGCTCTGCCTCCTGTGGTCAAGAGATTCTCCTGCCTCAGCCTCCTGAGTAGCTGGGATTACAGGCGTGCGCCACCACGCCCAGCTAATTTTTTTGTATGTTTAGTAGAGACAGGGTTTCGCCATGTTGGGCAGGCTTGTCTCTAACTCCTGACCTCAGGTGATCCGCCCGCCTCGGCCTCCCACAGTCCCCATTTTAAAGATGAGAAGATGGGCGGGGCACGGTGGCTCACGCCTGTAATCCCAGCACTTTGGGAGGCCGAGGCAGGTGGATCACGAGGTCAGGAGTTCAAGAGCAGCCTGACCAACATGGTGAAACCCCATCTCTACTAAAAATACAAAAAAAAAAAAAATTAGCCAGGTGTGGTGGCGCGTGCGTGTAATCCCAGCTACTCAGGAGGCTGAGGCAGGAGAATTGCTTGAACCAAGGAGGTGGAGGTTGCAGTGAGCTGAGACTGCGCCACTGCACTCCAGCCTGGGTGACAGAGTGAGAATCTGTCTCAAACAAAGACGATGAAGGCACAAAGAGGCTAAGTAACTTGCCCAAGGTCACATAGCCAATAAACAGCAGAGCCAGAATTTGTGGCCAGTCCAGCTCCACTACACCAAGCAAACAGGTCACTGTGGTGGGGGTGGAGGGAAGCGGGTGCAGTGTCCAACCCATCTTCTTGCAGGAGGTGACTTCTGAGTTGAGTCATAGGTATGAGTAGGAGTTGGCCAGGTGAAAGGTGTCTGGGGTAAGGACAGCATCAGAGGCGCAGGGTGGAGTGCACGGCAGCTGGGCATGACTATGAACAGTTCATGTGACAGGCATGGAGGGGCCTGAAGACTGTAGGGCCTGTAGGCCTTGTCGAGTCTTGGGATATTTTTCTTTTTTTTTTTCTGACAGAGTCTTGCTTTGTCACCTAGGCTGGAGTGCAGTGGTGTGATCTCGGCTCACTGCAACCTCCGCCTCCCGGGTTCAAGCAATTCTCCTGCCTCAGCCTTCTAAGTAGCTGGGATTACAGGCACATATCACCATGCCCAGGTAATTTTGTATTTTTAGTAGAGATGGGGTTTTACCATGTTGGCCAGGCTGGTCTCGAACTCCTGATCTCAGGTGATCAGCCTGCCTTGGCTTCCCAAAGTGCTGGGATTACAGGCATGAGCCACTGCGCCTGGCCAAGGGTTGAGATTTTATGTTGAGAGCTGTGTGGAACCATGGCAGGGTTCTGAGCAGTGCCACAGCTACCCATGCGCTCTAGACAGGTCCCTCTGGCCTCTGGTGGTTCTGATCCACCTTGGATTCCCTCTGGGGTGGACAAAGGTAGACGAAGCCTCATCTCCTGTTCGCAGCTGGCCCCGGGGGCCTCAGGCTTTGCCTGCAGGGGTCACACTCACCGCCCTTCTGCGACTCGATCTCCTTCTTGGCCTGCTCTAGAATGCTCTTGATGGCGTCGTCTGAGCCTGTCTCAGGCGTGCGGATTCTCGGGGTGATGCTGCCTGGGGAGGCAAGAAGGCATCTGTGGCAGGATCTGCATGTTGGGCTCAGTCTCCGGAGCCTGGTGGGGTAGGGGGGCTGTCTCCTCCTCCCAGAAGAGTGAGGGTCAGACCATCAGTGAGATGGCAGGGCCACTGCTTAGTCTATGTAACAAACTGTGGGCCTGTGAGTGATTCTGGTGTGAAATAAGAATCATAATAACGAGGCCAGGCACAGTGGCTCATGCCTGTAATCCCAGCACTCTGGGAGTCCGAGGTGGGAGGATCACTTTAGGTCAGGAGTTTGAGGCTATCCTGGCCAACATGGTGAAATCCTGTCTCTACTAAAAATACAAAATTAGCCAAGCATGGTGGCTTGCACCTGTAATCCCAGCTACTCAGGAGGCTGAGGCAGGAGAATCGCTTGAACCCAGGAGGCGGTGGTTGTAGTGAGCCAAGATTGTGCCACTGCACTCCAGCCTGAGTAACAGAACAAGACTCCGTCTCAAAAAAAAAAAAATAATAATAATAAAGAAATAGGGTACAGTGGCTTATGTCTGTAATCCCAGCACTTTGGGAGTCCAAGGCGGGTGGATTACCTGAGATCAGGAGTTTGAGACCAGCCTGATCACTATGGTGAGACCCTGTCTCTACTAAAAATGTAAAAATTAGCCAGGCATGGTGGCGTTGTGACTGTAATCCCAGCTACTAGGGAGGCTGAGACAGCAGAATTGCTTTAACCCAGGAGGCAGAGGTTGCAGTGAGCTGAGCTTGTGCCACTACACTCCAGCCTGGGTGACAGAGTGAGATTCCATCTCAAAAAAAAAAAGAAATGATGACGACAATGACTATGGCAACCACCACCCCTAACAGTTCTCAAGCAGCACTGCATGCCAGGTGCTGTGGTCAGTGCTTGATGCCCGTTTAATCCTCATGGTGCCTCCTGGAGGCTGACAGATGCAGAAACCGGGGCACAGGTGAAAGGAGTTGTCTGAGGTCACCCAGTGGGTGAACAGCAGAGCTGGGACTCAAACTCAGGCATTTGTGAGGCCACAGCTGGGACCCTTCATACTGATTACCTGAAAAATCAAGTCTGGTAAGGTTGGCGGTCTTACAAATGTATAAACTGAGGCTTGGAAGTGCTGGATGAATACCTGCCAGGGCAGCGCCTGGAGCCTTTTCCCGCCACCCTTACCCTGAGTGCCCCAGGAAGGGCAGACTGTCTCTGGCCAGGGCCAGGAAGGAGAGAGCGAGGATGTATTTCCTGCTTTTACAGAGGGGAAACTGAGGCACAGACAGGCAAAGCCACTGGCCCTGGGTCACACAGCCAGGTGGTGGTAGAGCTGGGCTTTGAACCCAGAGCGCGTGTCCTCAGCCCCCAGCCCTGATGCCCTGGACCTGGCGTGGTGGCCAGCGGGGACGGGCCCTCTTGGGCACTCACCTCGCTGCCGCACTTGGATGGTCCTGAGCGCCAGTACATTCTGCTCATCCGACAGGAACTGCTTCATCTTGATGAAGGGCTCCTTGCCCTTCACCGTGAGCTTGCGCCAGGGCTTGGGCCGGGCTAGGATCTCGCTGACCGAGCCCTGCGACAGCCCCAGCACGTAATGCCCAAACACCCGCTGCCCGATGTTGTGTTTCAGCAGCTGCTCCTTCACCTGGAAGGCGATCTCTGCCGTGTCCAGCTGCTCCTCCTCTGCCCCGGGCCCCGCCGCTCCGCCCCCACCACCATCCGCGGGCTCAGGACCGCCCAGTGGCTCAGGGCCAGGGGCCGGGGTGGCAGGGGCTGTGGGGGGCTTGGCGCCATAGAAGGCTGGGGGGAACACCAGCAGGCCGCCCGCCTCTCCCTTGAAGGCGGCTGGGGGCATCATCAGTCTCTCCCCTGATGCCAGGCTGGGGAAGGGGGACAGCGAGAAAGTCCGAGTGCCGTCAGGCCCCAAGCTGGGGCCCAGCAGGGGCTGCCCGGGGCTGGGAGACAGGGGGTCTTCTGGCCCTGGTGGAGGTGGGAGCTGCTGAGGGGAGGGGTAGGACTGCTCCGTGCCCAGTGAATCCTTGATGGAATCGTCCTCTGATGGGTCTTCCTCTAGAACACCCAGACAGACAGACAGACAGACAGACGGGGAAGACGATGATGAGGGGAGAGAGAGACAGGGAGAAAAAGAACCAGAGGGGGAGAGAGACAGAGAGAGACAACGAGAAAGAGAGACAGAGAGAGAAACCACATCAGAGAGACAGAGAGAGAGAGGGAGAGCGAGACAGAGACCACATGTGAGAGAAAGAAAGAGACAATGAGAGAGACAGAGAGAGAAATCACATGAGAGGGACAGAGAGAGAGAGAGGGAGAGCAAGACAGAGAGACCACATGAGAGAGAGAGAGAGAGATAAAGAGACAAAGAGACAGAGTGAAAAACCACATGACAGAGAGAGGCAGGGAGAGGGTCGGGGGGGAAGAGACAGAGAGAGACAGAGACATATATAGAGACAGAAAGTCAGAAATAGAGGAAGGAAGGAGGAGGAGGAGGGAAGGGGTTGGTGGGGAGGTGGGGGTGGGGAGCAGTGCTATAGGCGTCCAGCAGCTGGAAGCGCCGACCTTGGCTCTTTCTGCCCTACCCCCTCCATTCTCCAACTCCCACTCTTCCAGGCCCCATCCAAATGCCAGTTCTGGGGAGCGCCCCACCCCCATCACCAAGAGCATCAGCTGAGAACTTGCTATGGGCCCAGCACCTTGGCCTGGGGTGGGAAGTCGAACTTGCCACCACCTGCAGATGGGCCCTTGCTGGGCACCCACCCTGGAGCTGACTCACTAGACCTACATGGCACCCATGAAGTGGGCCCCAAGGTCACACCCATTTTATGGATGAGGAAACAGAGGCAGCACAGTGTCCTGCCTGGGGCCACAAGGCTAAAAGTTCAGTGGGTGGCTGGGTGCGGTGGCTTATGCCTGTAATCCCAGCACTTTGGGAGGCTGAGGCAGGCGGATCACCTGAGGTCAGGAGTTTGAGACCAGCCTGGCCAATGTGATGAAACCCCATCTCTGCTAAAAATATAAAACTTAGCTGGGTGTGGTGGTGCATGCCTGTAATCCCAGCTACTCAGGAGGCCGAGGCAGGTGAATTGCTTGAACCCAGGAGGCGGAGGCTGCAGTGAGCCGAGATCACACCACTGCACTCCAGCCTGGGCGACAGAGAGAGACTCGGTCTCAAAAAAAAAGTCAGCGGGTGGCTGACAGGGTGATCATGTCCGCAGCCTACTGCTCCCCACAGTGGTCGGCTGTGGGGGGTGTAATGACAATGCCCTGCTTGTCCCCCTGTGACCACTTCATGAAAGCCGCTGCAGCTCAAGAAGGCTCAGTGGGGAGTGGAGCTCTTTAGGGGGCCTTGGAAGGGCCCAAACCAGCTGTGTGACCCCAACGATGACGTGGGTGTTTGTGGATGCCCTGCAGGACAGGCATACAGCAGGTGCCAAATCAATGCACACCTGTTGTTCTGTCGTTCTCCTGCCTGCATGGAAGGCAGTGGTCCTTGGGCATGAGAAGGCCAGAGACCCACAGGCAGCCCCCGCCCCAGCCCTCAGCCCCAGAGTATCCTCCTCCCCTACCAGGGCTGGCCAGGAGGCTGGGCTTCTCCAGAAGGAATTTCTGCGTGGGGAAGAAGGCCTCCTTTGCAATAAGCAGTGAGTCTTCAGGCTTGGCCATGCCCTAGGAGACAAGAGGCAGGTTGAGAGGGCACCTGGTGGGCGGAAGGCTCACTGGGGCAGCCTGCCCTGCAGGGATGGTGGCAGGGACACTTACCTGGGGGAGGCTGCAGGTGCTGGAGGCCAGCTTCATGGCTTTCAGGATGCTGCCAGAGCAAGTGGAGAGGGTCTGAGGTCAGCCAGCCCCCGGGCTGGAGGAGAGGTCTTTCAAGAGGCACTGACCCGGCTTACCTCCCTGACAATGACTGCTCCATTCCCCAGAACCCCATTAATTCCAGAGTCATTGCAACCCCAGGCCTGAAGTAGCAGGCTCATTAACAGGTGGCGATGTTACCTGGAGGGGTGCTGCCTGAACTGACCCATTCTGGCCAGCTTGAGTTTAGCTGGTTAATGAATCACCTTCCAGTTACCATGCCTATAATAAGTTCCCTTGTATGGTCTACAGGCAGCTTCTTTTTTTCTTTGAGATGGAGTCTCACTCTGTCACCCAGGCTGGAGTGCAGTGGCACGATCTCTGCCTCCCAGGTTCAAGCGATTCTCCTGCCTCAGCCTCCCAAGTAGCTGGGACTACAGGTGAGCGCCACCACACCTGGCTAATTTCTGTATTTTTAGTAGAGACAGGGTTTTGCCCTTTCGGCCAGGCTGGTTTTGAACTCCTGACCTCAGGTGATCTGCCCGTACAGGCAGCTCTTAATGGAAAAGGACTGAAGATGGTTGAATTTCGTTTTGTTTTTGAGACAGGGTCTCACTGTGTTGTCCAGGCTGGAGTGCAGTGGTGCCACCACAGCTCACTGCAGCCTTGACCTCTCAGGCTCAAGCAATCCTCCCACATCAGCCTCCTGAGTGGCTGGGACTACAGCACGCATCACCACCACTCCTGGCTAATTAAAATTGTTTTTTTCTCACAGAGATGGGGTCTCCCCATTGTTGCCCAGGCTGGTCTCAAACTCCTGACCTCAAGCGATCCTCCTGCCTGGGCCTCCCAAAGTGTTGGGATTACAGGGATGAGCCACTGCACCTGGCCTGAGGATGGTTAAGGTTTGATATCCACAGTGTTAGTGGAGAGAAGAACAAATGGGGTTTAGTAGGAGGGAGGAAGATGATGAACTTTGCCAAGAGCTCCTGGCCAGGGAAGAGCACTGAGGGTCTGTGGAGCCCCACCCCACATGGTACCTCAGCTCCGTTTTAATTTCCTCATAGTCAGACTGGGCCTGGAGCTTCTCTTCCAGCTTCTAGAAGAGCAAAGAAAGATGGTGAGGCTGGTCTGTGTGCTTCTGCATGGGGCCGCCTGCCCGCCTGCCTCCTCCCCAGGACCCACTTCTATGGCCTCGGACTTGGCCGTGAGCTGCCGCTCCAGGTCGGCGATCTGGTTGGCGGATGCCTCCTCCAGCTCCTGCAGTGAGCTCTGGAGGTGCTGCACGTCCTTCAGCAGCCGCAGGATCTCCCTGTCCTTGGAGGCCAGCGCGGCCTCCAGCCGAGGGCCCGAGCACAGAGTGAAGTTCACCTTATCCTGCAGGCAAAGGGGTCTTTGAGGGGCTGAGAGGTGAGGGATGGGGGTCCACAGGTCTGGCCTCCCCACCCCTGAATCCCAAGCAGAATGCAAATTTGTTGATCTGGATGATGGTATGGGGTGTGCTTGTGTTGAAAAATTCAAAGTGTTGTATACTTATGACTTGTACACTTTTCCTTATGTATTAAGTTACACTTTGATTAAAAGATTTATTAAAAAAGAATAGCCATGACAAAAGGAAGGAGTCAGCTGAGGTTGGGGATTGGGTGCTCGCACCAGAGGAAACAGCATAGGTAAAAGTTTGAGTTTCTTTCTCAGGTCTGGCTCCTACTCCAGGGGGATGTCCCCATTCTAGGCAATAAGGGACCCTCAGGATTAGACTTGACACCTTGGAGCCACGGACCACGTTATGGGCGGCTCTTTCCTCCGCCTAATTTGCTGATAGCCCCAAGACCCATGGCTTCTCCACATTTTAGGAAATGGACCCTCTGTCCTGGATGAAGATGGAGAGGTTGCTGTTTGAGGAACCTGAAGTCAGGCTGATGTCAGGCTTAGTTACAAATAAATCTAAGAAACATTAAAAAAAAAAAAAAACCAAACAAACAAAAAGCCCCAACCCAACCCCAGCTTTCTTCCATGGAGATAAATGCCAATTAAAACAGGAAGCGGATGCCATTAATACATTAAATTAATTAGCATCGAGTGCCACTGTTGTGCTCAGAAAAGCACACCCCCCAAACCAGCAAAGTTCCCTGGGGCTGATTAGCACAGGCATTTGCCGGGTTCCACGGGGGTTAATTAAGAACCATTGGCAAATTCCTCTACGAGGCATCCTCATGGGCTCTCACTCTCCATCTCTCTCCACACAGCCTCTCTCTCCTGTGTTCACTCTCTCTGTGTTATGCCGTCACCCAGGAACATGGACACACACAGAATCTCCTGGGACACAGACACAGGCTGACACACAAGGACACACCTATAGCCACAGCACACACTAACACATGCAGTTTCCCAAATATGCTGACACACACACACAAATACACACGCATCAAAGAGAGACACTCACAAGGACACATCATCACACACAACAGACATGCGCGTGCTCAAAGAAGCCACATGCTCTCATGAGCAAAAACACCCCAGACACACCAAAGACACATTAACAATTATAACAGTAGCATCAAGTACTTAGTGAGCATATACAATGACCCAAGCACCATTTTAGGCACTTTACACATAATCCATTTTTTTTTTCAGAGACAGGATCTTGCTGTATTGCCCAGGCTGGACTCAAACTCCTGGGCTCAAGTGATCCTCCTGCCTCAGCCTCCTAAGAGGCTGGGACTACAGGCATGTGCCACCATGCCTGACTCATGTAATCCTTTTAATAACCCTATAAAGTAGATGTTAATTGTACAGATGAGGAAACTGAGGCACAGTCAGGTTAAGAATACAGTCAGTTGCCCAAAGGTCACAAGTAGAGACACACATACACAGTAACACATTCATAGAGACTCATTCCAATATTCAAACAGAAAGAGAGACATAGACACCTGGGCCTGTATATGTGGGTGTCAGGTGAAGTGAAAATTATGCTCGCAAGTTCAGGTTCATGGGTGGAGAGGGAAGTCACCCTGGAGCAGACCTGTTATTATGTAAGGAATCATGAATCTCACCCCTTGGTATGTAGAGATCTGGAAATAAGGCAGACCAATTCACATAATGAACCCAAGGCTCTCTGGGAGAGCCAGGATGGAGACTGCTAATATAGGACAGAAGGGTAGGTTGGGGTGGCCTTGATGAAAGTCTCTTGTCAAGAAATGACACTAGGACCCCAAAGAGGCACAAACCAGGAGGAAAGAGAAAGATGAATTGATTAATCAGGCCTAACACAAGAACCTCAGGGTTGATCACCGAAGACTGGCTCTTCATAGCATGTGGCTGGGGTGGGAAATCCCCCTAGAATCACCTGGCATGCTTTGGAAACCAATGGCTGAGTATGAATGTTAAATTTTATCTTGGTATGTGGCCCCACTGCAGTCCTGGTGATGACTGCCTGTTGATATGTTGGCTGGCTCACACTCCTAAAAGTACCCAGTTTTGGGACTGAAAACCAGCAGGGGCATCACCATCCCAAGCATGCACAAAGCTGCTATGACCGGTGTTCAACAGCGACACCTGGTGGCAGCCACCAAAACTGCATGCTGCTGTATTGCCTCAAACTCCCTCTCCCCCATGTCTTTGCTGGTGCATCTGGAAATCAGAATGATCTTTGGTCTGAGGAAGTTCCTGGCATTCTTGGATAATTGGGGATAAGGGAGGCCTCCAAAGGAAGATACTGGAACTCCTGGTAATAAAGGGTATATGGAAACGTGGGCTTGAAAAGTAAAGAACTGTAGCTGTATTTTTATCCTCAGCTGGTGTAGCAGGTCATAGTGATTATGCTCACCGTATGCACAGAGACCCACACACATTCACACTCCCAGTTTCAAATGGATGCACACAATCAACCACAAAGTGTCACCCACATGCTGAAACCTGCAAACTCAGCCATTCCCGATCTTTCCCTCTGCCCTCCCTGCTCACTTCCCCAACCCCATCCTTACCCCACTGGGCCCCTGGGGAGAGCAGCAAGCCAGGCGGATGGAGCTGTTGACAGAGGCCAGCTGTTCCCGGAGACTTTCCACCTCCCGCTGGGCAGCCTCAGCTCGCTGGGGAGAAGGGGACAGTGTGGGCGAGAGGTGAGCCCACTCTGCACTTCCACCTTCTCCCTGCACTGTTTCAGGCAGGGGTTGGGGAGGCAGACCTCCGAGGGCCTCAGGTCCTGCCTTCCTAGTCCCGGACCCTGTCCTGGAGCTATGAAGACCAGTCACAGAGCCCTGTCTGGGCTGGGGACAAGAAATAGCAGCCTCTGGGGTTACTCCTGAGCTGAGAGGACAGGAAGAAATGCCCCTCTGAGGAGGTTCTGGGTTCTCGTGGGGTGCCTGGGACCCCCAGAGGAGTCAGAACATTCCTGCTCTATGAAGGCAGGATGAGAGAGGCTCTCTGGGTGGGACTGGCAGGTTTTCACACATTTCTAGATACTTCTGTCTGCCACATTAACTTCAGGCCTGGCTAGTCTGAAGGCAAGAGCTGTTCCAACTCTCATGCCACCTGGTATGGAATGAGTCCCAGACACGGCATCTGCAAAGGTGCTTTCCCAGGCCACAGGTTATTGCAGCCCCTGGGCAAGTCACTTCCTCTCCCTGGGTCTCAGTTTCTTTTCTTTTCTTTTTTTTTTTTTTGAGATGGAGTCTCACTCTTGTCACCCAGGCTGGAGTGCAGTGGCACAATCGTGGCTCACTGCAAGCTGCCCCTCCTGGGTTCACGAGATTTTCCTGCCTCAGCCTCCCAAGTAGCTGGGATTACAAGTGCA
Source organism: Homo sapiens (assembly GCF_000001405.40). Lineage (NCBI taxonomy): Eukaryota > Metazoa > Chordata > Mammalia > Primates > Hominidae > Homo > Homo sapiens. The sequence goes on along the minus strand of NC_000012.12, from coordinate 111,303,505 downwards.
CACCACCACACCCAGCTATTTTTTGTATTTTTAGTAGAGGTGGGGTTTCACCATGTTGGCCAGGCTGGTCTTGAACTCCTGACCTCAGGTGATCCACCCGCTTCAGCCTCCCAAAGTGCTGGGATTACAGGAGTGAGCCATCGTGCCCAGCTCAGTTTCTCTTTTTGAAATGGGGAGCAATGAAAACATCTAACACAAAGAGGTTTTGAGTGGTTAAAATCAGAATGCAGCAGTTCACTAAACTGGGTCTATGGTCGATTTTTTTTTTTTTTTTTTTTTTTTTTCGAGACAGGGTCTCGCTCTGTCACCCAGGCTGGAGTGCAGTGGTGCAATCAGGGCTCACAGCAACCTCCAACTCCCGGGATCAATTGATCCTCCCATCTCAGCCTCCTGAGTAACTGGGATTACAGGTGTGCACTACCATGACGGGTTAATTTTTGTAGTTTTAATAGAGACGGGTTTTGCCATGTTGGCTAGGCTGGTCTTGAACTCCTGGGTTCAAGTAACCCACTTGCCTTGGCTTCCCAAAGTGCTGGGATTACAGGCATGAGCTACTGTGCCCAGCTGGTAGATTTCTTTTTCTTTTCTTTTTTTTTTTTTTTTTTTAAGACAGAGTCTTGCTTTGTTGCCCAGGCTGGAGTGCAGTGGCACAATCTTGGCTCACTGCAACCTCCACCTCCTGGGTTCAAGCAATTCTCCTGCCTCAGCCTCCTGAGTAGCTGGGATTACAGGTGTGTGATGCCAGGTCTGTCTACTTTTTGTATCTTTAGTAGAGACGGGGTTTTTCCATGTTGGCCAGGCTGGTCTCTAACTCCTGGGCTTAAGCAATCCACCCACCTCAGCCTCCCAAAAGTGCTGGGATTACAGGCATGAGCCACCACACCCAGCTGGTAGATCTTAATTCTTAAAAAATTTCTACCTGGAAGGAAGCATTCAAATGTTAATACATTTAATCTTGTGGCTTTGGAGAGAAATCTGGGCTCACATTCTGACTTTGCAACTTTCCGGTTATGCGATCTTAGGCAAGAGGCTTCATCTCCCCAGCCTCGGTTTCCCTATTAATAAAATGGGGATTATAAAGGCAACTATCTCATAGGGTTGTTCTGCAAATGAAGTGGTTTGGCCAAATGCAATTTGGTAGATATCTTTGCTTGGTGCCTGGCACATATAAATGCATCAATAATTGGTTAACTTTGTTAACATCATGAGGGTATATTACTTGAGCCATTACTTAGAGAATTAAAAGAGCTGTGGCTGTATTTTTGCCTTTGGCTGGTAATGCAGGTCATAGTGATTATGTTTAACTACATAATGACCTGGACAATCAGGATGCTATGCCCAATGTATGCATATTGAGACCCATACACATTCATGTTCACATTTGAATTTATTATTTATTTATACGTATCTTGCCTTGTTCCAGAAATGGTTCAAGTCAATTTTGTTTTGGGAAGAGTTTCCTGGTATGTGGGACTGTAAAGGAAATATTTTTATGTTTCTGTACAGTTAGGGAACCCTGAGCATATCTGATTGAAAGCTGAGATCTGGACTAAAGGACAAGCCTTGAAAATTCAACTCATGGCTGATTAGCTACTGAGAACCCCAGAGGTTTCCTTCCCTGGAGGTTTATGTGTTTAGACATCAAGGGTGGGTGAGACCCACATCATGGAGACAGCCCCTGAACAGTAAAGCTGGGTTTTAAAGCAATTAGCTGGGGCTGGGCATGGTGGCTCATGCCTATAATTCCAGGACTGTGAGAGGATTGCTTGAGACCACGAGTTTGAGACCAGCTTGGGCAACATAGCAAGATACCATCTTGACAACAGCAAGAAAAAATTACGGCTGTGGTGGTGTGAGCCTGTAGTCCTTGCTACTTGGGAGGATCCCTTGAGCCCAGGAGTTTGAGGCTGCAGTAAGCTAGGATCTTGCCACAGCACTCCAGTCTGGGTGACAGAGCTGGACCCTGTCTCTTGGAAAAGAAAAAAAAAAAGCTACTAGTCTTACCTCCCCCTCCAGAGATGTGTCTACATTCCAGAGGCTAACAGCCAGCGTCCTTGTCTCTGTCCACATGACACTTGGGAGGTAGATTCTTTCCCTTCCTCTCTCAGAAGGTCCCTCTCCTACATAACCACCTAGATTCAGAATTGGGGCGGTCCTCGCCTAGAGTACAAACTTAAGTACATGTGGGATGACAGCTGGTTCTCATTTTCTCACCCCAGGAGTAAGAATTGGGGCAAACTGGTGTGGTTATTATCCTGTAAGTAATAATATGGATCTGCTGTACCCCAGCATCCTCATTAAAATAGTATTAATAAATACAGAGATTAAAAACCTAATACACTGACATTTATTTTCTTCTCTATACGTCTCCATAATGTGTGGGTTTTAGTTTTGGACTCAGGAAAACATTATTAGACGTGCTTCCTATTCCAAGTACTATAAGCTGGATTTTTTTTTTTTTTTTTTTGAGATAGGGTCTCACTCTGTTGTCCAGGCTGGAATGCAGTAGTGTGATCATAGCTCACTGCAGCCTCCATCTTCCTGGACTCAGGTGATCGTCCCACCTCAGCCTCCTGAGCAGCTGGGACTACAGGCGTACACCACCATGCCTGGATAGTTTTTAAATATTTTGTAGAGATGAGGTCTCCCTATGTTTCCCAGGCTGGTCTCAAACTCCTGGGCTCAAGTGATCATCCCACCTCGGCCTCCCAGAGTGTTGGGATTAGAGGCATGAGCTATTGTGTGCAGTCTTGCCTGTTCTTATAAAGTTTTATTGGAATACAGCCATGCTCATTCACTTACATATTGTCTATGCTTTCATGCTATAATGGCAAAGTTGAAAATCTGTGTCAGAGACTGTATGGATTGCACAGCTGAAAATATTTACTCTCTGACTCTTTATAGAAAGTTTGCCCTCCCCTGGGTTAGACGATGGTGCACCCTGCTGAGGAACACCACACAGCCGTAAAACAGAGGAGGAACTGCTTTCTATACTGATACGGAAGGAGCTCAAAGATATAGACGGGGAAAAGTAAGGTTCACAATGGTATGCATAGTATATTATCATTTTGTTTTTAAAAGGGGTGGCTGGGCACAGAGGCTCACACCTCTAATCCCAGTGCTTTGGGAGGCCCAGGAGGGTGGACTGCTTGAGCTCAAGAGTTTGAGATCAGCCTGGGCAACATGGCAAAACCGCATCTCTACAAAACATATGAAAATTAGCCGGATGTGGTGGTGCGTGCCTGTAGTCCCAGCTACTTGGGGGACTGAGGCAGGAGGATTGCTTGAGCCCCAGAGGTTGAGGCTGCAGTGAGCTGTGATCGCTGCAATGCACTCCAGACTGGATGACAAAGTGAGACCCTGCCTGTCTCAACAAAAAGAGGCCGCTGGTTAAAATAGATATATTCTGGGCAACATGGTGAAACCTCATCTCTACAAAAAAATACAAAAAATTAGCACGGCGTGGTGGCACACGCCTCTGTTCCCAGCTAACTGGCTACCTGGGAGGCTGAGGTGGGAGGATCACCTGAGCCGGGGAAGTCAAGGCTACAGTGAGCCATGATTGTGCCACTGCACTCCAGCCTGGGCGACAGAGTATGACCCTGTCCCCCTTGCCCCCCACAAAAAGATATATTCGTGGGCTTGTGAATGGATTGACCATCTCTGGAAGGAGAACCCAGGGGCTGGTGAGAGAGGCTGCTGCAGGGGAGGAGAACTCGGAGGAGAGCTGGACTTTCCTAGACAGGCCCTTGTGTAGCTTCTTGAGTTCTGAACTACATGAATGCATTACCTATTCAAAAAATCATTCTAAAAAGGCTATGTAGCCTATACAAAATGGGGCTTACTTAATGATCATTTCAGAAAAATATGCTGGACCTAAGCTCAGGGAAGCCACTGCGGTTACCACCACCACGGTAACCTAGCCCTGACTTTGGCCTTCCCGACCCTCCTAGGGGACACTGCTTCTATAGGGGTAGGGGCTCATAGAGTCTCAGCACTTCCAGCCCAGGCCTGCACCTTCTGGTGGCTTCCCAGGGACATAGAATCAGCCCTTTTATCCAAGTCTCCTCTGTAGGAGGGAGTGCCCCCACCCTGCGCCCAAAGAGCCACACCTCGGGCCTCTGCTCCTGCTGAGCCTTCTACCTGGCTGCCCTCCCTCAGGGGACAGCATCAGGACTCTGAAACCCAGCTTCAAAATGTCTTCCAAGAGGCCCCTTTTAACTGCCCCTGGGGAAAATGACCTCTCTCCCTGCCACAGTGCGGGCCCGCAGACCTCAGGGCGGGTGGGCATCTTCTCCCACCCCACAGGCAGGAAGATGAGCCAAGGGACAGAGGGCTCAAGGCCCTGCTGGCCTCTCCTGGCCATGTCTCTGGCTGGTGGCATTGCAGGGAGCTGGGGGACAGACATGGTGGGCACTCAAGACTCCGGGCTGGAGCCCCCTGGCTGTGGCTGCCCTTCTTTTAAAGTCCTGCCTGACTCTGCCCACCAGATGGCAGCACCTCTGAGCCGGAGGAAGGCAGGAGGCGGGAGCCCCACTTAGAATCCATGCCTAGATATGCTGTCATTTATTCTTTGGGTCTTAGCTCCACATCCCTTCCTCTAGGACGTCTTCCTGGACTCCCGCAGTCTGGGTCAGCGGCCCCTTCCTGCCTGTTGCTGCTTGGAGCACTCTATTTCCAAGTGTGTCTGTCTGCATTCCCTACCCCAACCCCCTACCCTGGGCCCACCCTGGGAGCTTGGGGAGGGCAGGGCCTGGGGCCCAGACTCCTCCTGGCTCCCTCACTTGGCATGCACAAGACCCACAGTTGAATAAATATTGATGAAGCTCAGTCCCTTCCTCCTCATCTGGCCCGAGACCCCCACCCCAGGCAGAGGGAGCCTCTGGCACCCACGGGTGGGAACTGCGCCTCCTCACCTGATTAGCTTTCTCCAGGTTGGTCATGATCAGGCCGACTTCATCTGCCCTGAGACACAAAGATGAGGCCCTGAGGAAGGGCTTCCGGCGGGCTCCAGGCCCCCGCCCCTCCTGACACCCCCAGCCCCTGCCTGAGCCCAGGGGAGGGCTGAAGGCCTTGCTACAGGAGAGAAATCGGGCTGGGGAGAAAAGAGCCTAGGCTTCGAGGAAAAGGGAGTAGGGCGTCAGCACTGCACCTCTTCAGGACAGCCTGGCCTCCCCTCTCCCCCAGGGGCCACTCTCTGAACTCCACCTCCAAGCCTTTGTCCTGGTAGTGCCTGGAATGCCCATCCTCAAGAGAACAGCCCCCGGCTTTAAAACCCTGATCACAGTGTTCTCCGGGGAGGCCGCCCTGCACTGTCCCCAGTGGTCACTTGTTTACTGCGCTGCCCAGCCCCCTGCAGGCTGCCAGCATGGAGGGGCTTGGGAGAGGCATCCCCTCTGTTAGCAGGGGGTGGGAGACGCGGGGGGCACGTGGGGAGCACTTTGTGACCCAAGGCCACACACATGCTTCATGCATGCTTAGGGCCTTCCTTGGCTCAAGCTGTTCCTGCTGCCTGGAGCACCCTTCCCTGCTTTCTTCACATGGCCTTCTCCTCATTCTGAAAGCCACCTCCTCCAGGGAGTTCTCCCTGACTACCCTGGATAAAGGACCTACCCCTGCTTGTCATTCTCTTTTCCCATCCCCAGTTCTTCCCTTTGTAGCATTTGCCATGTGCCAAGAACAGTGCTGGGCATACCGTAAGTGCTCAATATGTGTGAATGAACAAATGTATCACTGCACATCAGTTTTTGTCTCCTCTCCTTGACTGAGGACCGGGTCATGTTCTCATGTTTCCTCCAAGGACCCAGAACAGCACTGGATAAACAGCAGGTGCTCAATAAGTGTTTGCAGAATGAATGATTTCTTAAAGCCTAAAGAAACGCTTGAGTCCAGAGTAATTTAGGTGAATGCCTCTCAGCCCCTGAGGATTGGAGTGTGGAGCTGGGGAGCGGGGACAGTCCCAGGGGCCCAGAGCAAAGGGGGAGGCCCCCACCAAGCAGCCCCTCACTCAGCCCAGGTCCCAGGACATTATTTATGGCTGTGGTGTGTGAGTGGCACAGCAAATGACAGCTGTGTGCCTTTGGGGGTGAGGAGCAGAGGTGCTTAATGAAACGGGGGCCTCCAGCCGAGACTCAGAGGAAGGAGAAGAGTCAGAAAGAGGAGGCATGTCTGAGAGGTCAGAGGGAAGAGACATGTCTGGAGGGACAGAGGGAGGATGTAAGTCCTGGAGGATCAGAAGGAGGAGGCAAGTACTGGAGGGCCAGAGGGTGGAGGCGTGTCTGGGATGATCAGAGGGAGGAGGCGTGTTTGGGAGGGTCAGAGAGAGGAGGCGTGTCTGGGAGGGTCAGAGGGAGAAGGCCTGTCTGGGAGGGCCAGAGGGTGGAGGCATATCTGGGAGGGTCAGAGGGAGGAGGCAAGTACTGGAGGGTCAGAGAGAGGAGGCCTGTCTGGAAGGGTCAGAGGGAGGAGGCGTGTCTGGGAGGGTCAGAGGGAGAAGGCCTGAGAGGGCCAGAGGGTGGAAGCAAGTACTGGAGGGTCAGAGGGAGGAGGCCTCTCTGGGACGGCCAGAGGGTGGAGGCAAGTACTGGAGGGTCAGAGGTAGGAGGCCTCTCTGGGAGGGCCAGAGGGTGGAGGCGTGTCTGGGATGGCCAGAGGGTGGAGGCAAGTACTGGAGGGTCAGAGGGAGGAGGCCTCTCTGGGAGGGCCAGAGGGTGGAGGCGTGTCTGGGATGGCCAGAGGGTGGAGGCAAGTACTGGAGGGTCAGAGGGAGGAGGCCTCTCTGGGAGGGCCAGAGGGTGGAGGCGTGTCTGGGATGGCCAGAGGGTGGAGGCAAGTACTGGAGGGTCAGAGGGAGGAGGTGTGTCTGGGAGGGTCAGAGGGAGGAGGCAAGTACTGGAGGGTCAGAAGGAGGAGGCCTGTCTGGGAGGCCTCCAAGGGAGGAGGTACACCTCAGCAGGGCTCACTTACTTGGATGCTGCCTCCTCGTCGTACTTCCGCCGCAGCTCTAGCAGCTCTGCCTGCGTAGCCTTTAGCGCTGGGAGAAAGCAGAGGCAGGGTGAGGCCCCACCTCCGAGTGGGAAGGAGCTGGGTCTCCCAGGGAGGTGGAGCCCACTCCTTCTGCGAAGCCCAGCAGGCAGAATGAGAGCTCGGGTAGTGAGGGAGATCTTTCTCTCAGTCAGAACTGGTGACGGTGAGTGAGTTTCCTGCCCCTAAAGGGGCTCAGGCTGGTGAGAGGGATGTGCAGTGGCTGGGGTGGGCAGTGCGGGGCAGATGAGGTCTCTCCATGGGCCTAGGTAGCTCAGGGGACCCAGGCCGGGGTTGGGGGGTGGAGGCGTGGTGCTGTCTGCCCCATGACCTGGGGTATAAGCCCCCCAACACCCTTAAGTCATTTCAGGACCTGGGCAGGGCCATCCATCCCGAGGTGTTCAACCACCCCGAGGTTCCAACCTGGCAGGCCGGAAGACAGGGAAGATCCACACAATGAACAGATTCATGTGTTACAATGAACGAGCGTTTTTGATACAACTCCAGATTTCTAATTTCTCTGGGAAAATGGAAGGGCCTGGCCACAGGGGACCATATGGTAGCGCCTGGCTGGTACTAAGCAGTGGCTGTCTCTTTAGATGAGGCCTCATTTCTCCAGTTTGCCCCAGACCTCACCCCTCCCCAACGCCTCCCCTAAGTCGGTGGCTTGGTAGCGTTTTGGCCCCTGCAGGGGTTGTATTAAATTAATTAATTAATTAATTAATTAATTAGAGACAGGGTCTTGCCATGTTGCCCAGGCTGGTCTCAAACTCTGGGGTTCAAGCGACCCTCCCACTTCAGCCTCCCAAAGTGCCAGGATTACACATGTGAGCCACCACGCCTGGCCATCACCTGAATTAATTCTGTCTCAAATCCTCTTTCCACAGCAATGTGGCCTCTGGGGCATAGAGGCTCAGCCCCCCACTGGGTAAGATTATTCTTCCCAAACTCCCATTTTGCCCTCTTGATTCTAAAACACCTGGATGTGGCAGACCCCAAGCCGTGACCCCTCGTTGACAGCATTACCGTCCCCTCCCAGTCCTCCCTCTAGGCCACATGGTGCCGACACATACCTGAATGTAGGACTTTGATTTTCTCCTCTGCCTCCCCCAGTCTGGCCGCCAAAGTGATCTGTACTTCTTGAAGGCCCCTGCGGAGAGACGAGGCCTGCTTGTGCTGGCTGCAGGGACAGGCCTTGCCTGGGGCCCCCGAGTCGAGCCCCATCTTGCTTCCTACCCCTTGCCCACTCCCTGTAACCTGCACCTCTGTCTTTCTGCAAGTCCTTAGACACGACATTCAGGCACCTGGCTGTCCTGCTGCTCCACTGCCTATGTGGACCCTGTCATGGCTGCTCCTGTTAGTTTCTGCCAGGATTTTTAGGGGCAAAATTTACAGTAGCAAGCAACCTCTCTGGTCCTCAGTTTCCTTATTTTTAAAATGAGGTTTCTGATAGGGTCTGCCTCAGGGGGTACTGTGAAGCATGCTCAGTGGTGTGCTCAGCCCCCAATAGTTCTGCAATATTGTGAGTTACTTATACTGTCCTGGGGGAGGAATATTTCCTCCGTTTTCTTTTTTTTTCTTTTTTGAGATGGAGTCTCGCTCTGTCGCCCAGGCTGGAGTGCAGTGACCCGAACTCGGCTCACTGCAACCTCCGCCTCCCAGGTTCAAGCAATTCTCCCGCCTAAACCTCCTGAGTACCTGGGATTGCAGGCGCCTGCCACCACACACAGCTTAATTTTTGTAATTTTAGTAGAGACAGGGTTTCACCATGTTGGTCAGGCTGGTCTCAAACTGCCGACCTCAAGTGATCCGCCTGCCTCAGTCTCTCAAAGTGCTGGGATTATAGGCATGAGCCACCACGCCCGGCCTGTTTTCTTTCTTTTTTTTTTTTTTTTTTGAAAAGATAGGGTCTTGCTCTGTTGCCCAAGCTGGAGTGCAGTGGCGCAATCATAGCTCACTACAGCCTCGACCACCTGGGCTCAAGTGATCCTCTGCTCTGCCTCAGCCTCACATGTAGCTGGGACCACAGGTGCACGCCACCATGCTTGGCTAATTAAAAAAAAATGTGCATATATATATGGGCACACAGACTTACACCTGTAATCCCAGCACTTTGGGAGGCCAAGGCGGGAGGATCACTTGAGGTCAGGATTTTGAGACTATCCTGGCCAACATGGTGAAATCCTGTCTCTGCTAAAAATACAAAAATTAGCCAGGTGTGGTAGTGCACACCTGTAATCCCAGCTACTCGGGAGGCTGAGGCAGGAGAATTGCTTAAACCCGGAACGTGGAGGTTGCAGTGAGCCAAGATTGCAACACTGCACTCCAGCTCTGTAGCCCAGGCTGGTCTTGAACTCATGGCCTCCAGCAATCCTCCTGCCTCGGCTTCCCAAAGTGTCGGGATTACAGGCTGCAGTGGGCTATAACTGTGCCATTGCACTCCAGCCTGAGTGACAGAGCAAGATCCCATCTCTAAAACATTATAATTATTGTAAAATAAAATTTAAAAAGATTGCAGCACCAACTCCTGCTCTACCAATTTTGCACCTGGCAGCTCCCACAACTGCATAAGCTAAGTCCTAGGAATACATGTCTTAATCATTTAAAAAATCCTACCAGTTCAGTTTCTCTAGAGAATGCTGAGGAATGGACCACCCTTAGCCCCATTTCCCAGGTAGGGAAGTTGAGGCTCAGAGGATGATGTGACTTGCCCAGGGCTGGCCACTGAGTTCCTGCAGTGGAACTTGAACCCAGACCCGGTTGGAGTCCAAAGCCCTCGGCCCTTTCTCATCTCGGTCTCCAGCCTGCATCTGGATTCTGGTAGGAGACTTTCCCCGTCCACGACCCAGCCAGGTGGGGCAGCAGGAGCCCTGCCCATTCCTTCCTCCCTCCCACCCACCTTCCCTTCCTCACTTTTGTTTTTCCGCCTCATTTCTCTGCAGCAAGGTTTCTGTCAGGAGGGCTTTCCCGGGAATGCCTGGGAGGCGGCTTCCCTCGGTCAGCGTGGGCCCGGCAGGCGACGTCCCCTCTCTCTGCTCTGCAGGGAGAAAAAGAGGGAAAACCCCCATTGCCAAGAGAGCAACGTGGCAGCCAGAGCCGCTTTCTGTAAACCGGATCGATCATTGATTGTGATCAATTTCCCAAACTTGGGCCTTGGAGAGAGCGCAGCTGTGGGGCCCTGCGGGCCGCATGTCCTCAGCACACAGGTCATTTCCACTGTGGCACCAGCGTCAGCACACGCAGACCTTCTTTTGCCTGCTCATGCCTCCGCGGCCTGCTTTATTATACTTTTAAAATTGTGGTAAAATATACGTCACATAAAATTCACCTTTTTTTATTTTTTATTTTTTTTTTGAGACGGAGTCTTGGTCTGTTGCCCAGGCTGGACTGCGAGTGCAGTGGCACAATCTCAGCTTACTGCAACCTCTGCCTCCTGGGTTCAAGCGATTCTCCCGCCTCAGCCTCCCGAGTACCTGGGATTATAGGTGCCTGCCACCATGCTTGGCTAATTTTTGTATGTTTAGTAGAGATGGGGTTTTACCATGTTGTCCAGGCTGGTCTTGGACTCCTGACCTCAAGTGATCTGCCCGCCTTGGCCTCCCAAAGTGCTGGGATTACAGGCGTGAGCCAACGTGCCTGGCCAAAATTCACTATTTTAACCACCATTTTGCAGTGACATTTAGTATATTCACAATTTTCCAAAAGGAAACCCCTCATACCCATTAAACAACTCCCCATTCCCCTTCCTGCAGCCCTAGGCAACGACCAATCTCCTTTCTGTCTCTACCAATTTGCCTGTTTTGACATTTCACACCAACAGAATCGTACATTACGTGGCCTTTCCTGTCTGGCATTTTCCACTCAGCACCATGTTTTCTTTTTATTTATTTTTTGAGATGGAGTCTTGCTCTGTCACCCAGGCTGGAGTGCAGGGGCATGATCTTGGCTCACTGCAACCTCCACCTCCCAGGTTCAGGCAATTCTCCTGCCTAAGCCTCCCAAGTAGTTGGGATTACAGGTGTGAGCCACCAAACCCGGTGAATTTTTGTATTTTTAGTAGAGACAGGGTTTCACCATATTGGTCAGGCTGGTCTGGAACTCCTGACCTTGTGATCCACCCGCCTTGGCCTCCCAAAGTGCTGGGATTACAGGCATGAGCCACTGCACCTGGCCAGCACCATGTTTTCAAAGTTCATCCATGTTGTAGCATGGATCAGTGCTTCTTTCCTTTTCATGGCCGAGTAATATTCCATTCTATGGATATTTTATTTGTCCATTCAGCTGTTGAAAGCCACTTGAGTTGTTTCTGCTTTTGCTGTTATGAGTAACGCTGCCATGTACATTTGTGTACACTGTTTTGAGCCTGTGTTTTCAATTCTCTGGGGTCCACACCTAGCCGTGGCGCTGCTGGGTCATGTGGTGAGCCTGTGTTTTACTTACTGAAGGACTGCCAGACATTTTCCCCTCCCTACTGTGGAGGGCGCCCATGTGGACACTCAGCCATCACTGGCCTCACCTGCGTCATGTCCAGCTCGGCAAGGGCTCATCCCAGGGCTTGGTGGGTGCTTTTGGTGCTGAATTCGTCACTGGGGCAGAGGGTGCTTTGGGGCTGGCCATGGAGGGTGGGAACCTGAACGGGTCTGTTGACTTTTCTCTCCACCTGCCACACTATGAGTCTTACTAATTTGTTCACTGACAGTCTCCCCTTCTAGAAGATCATCACCACAAGGGCAGGATTTTTCTCTTTTACTCCTAACTGCATTTCCAGCACCAGGATCAATATATACCCAGGAACTAGATGGTTACCAAAGGCCTTCACCTGCCCAGTTCCCTGCCCCAGCCACCCCGCAACAAGGCTGGCTGAGTTTGGCTCTGAAGATCTGCAGCCTGGTTGTTTATTGTAGACGCTCCGAGAAGGCCTTATCAGTACCTTTGGGGCTGAGGAGCTCGGGGTTCCTCTTCCACGAAGTGTGGAGGTCTCGCCGGGGCTGCCCACTGGGGTCAAAGCTGGGGGGCTGCAGTCTGTCGTCTAGGCTGCGTGCCGCCTCAAACACAGGCACGGGGTCTGTGCAGGGAGAGAAAGACAGGGATAGTGAGGGCCTGATGGATAGGGACACCCGGGCTGTGGCTGCAGGGCCTGGCAGGTTCCACAGGAGCCATCGGAGTCACCCCGCTGGCTTACAGGAAGTAGCATGGACTTTCTGCTCTACGAGGGAGCAGGCTTGTCCAGGCACTTGTTCAGGGGAGCACCTGCTATCTCCAGGGTATGGGTATCCTGCCCAGCTGGGAATAATACTAACAATAATAATAGTTGGCCAGGCCGGGTGCGGTGGCTCATGCCTGTAATCCCAGCACTTTGGGAGGCTAAGGTAGGCGGATCATTTGAGGTCAGGAGTTCAAGACCAGCCTGACCAACATGGTGAAACCCCGTCTCTGCTAAAAATACAAAAAAATTAGCCGGGTGTGGTGGTGCATGCTTGTAGTCCCAGCTATTCGGGAGGCTGAAGCAGGAGACTCGCTTGAACCCAGGAGGTGGAGATTGCAGTGAGCTGAGATCACGCCACTGCACTCCAGCCTGGGCGATAGAGCAAGACTCCATCTCAAAAAAAAAAAAAGGTTGGCTGAGTGCAGTGGCTAACGCCTGTAATCCCAGCAATTTGGGAGGCCAAGGTGGGAGGATCACTTGAGCCCAGGAGTTCAAGACCAGCCTGTGCAGCATGGCAAGATCTCATCTCTGCAAAAAGATTTAAAAAATAGTCTGGGCGCAGTGGCTTATGCCTGTAATCTCAGTACTTTGGGAGGCTGTGGCAGGTGGATCACCTGAGGTCAGGAGTTTGAGACCACCTGACCAATATGGTGAAACCCCGTTGCTACTAAAAATATAAAAATTAGCTGGGTGTGGTGGTGGGCACCTGTAATCCCAGCTACTTGGGAGGCTGAGGCAGGAGAATCACTTGAACCAGGGAGGCAGAGGTTGCAGTGAGCTGAGATGATGCCACTGCACTCCAGCCTGGGGGACAGAGTAAGGCTCCATCTCAAAAAAATAAAATAAAATTAGCTGGGCATGGTGGCACATGCCTGTAGTCCCAGTTACTTAGAAGGCTGAGGTGGGAGGATCACTTGAGCCTGGGAGGTCGAGGCTGCAGAGAGTGGAGATTGCATCACTGTACCCCAGCCTCAGCAACAGAGTGAGATTCTGTTCAAGTGATCCTGCCTCAGCCTCCCGAGTAGCTGGGATCAAGGGTGTGCACCACCATGCCCAGCTAATTTTTGTATTTTCTTGTAGAGACAAGTCTCACCATGTTGCCCTGGCTTCATTGCATTTTCTTGATTTTATGATGCTATCTGTGGCACTTTAAGACTGTGCCTTGCAGACCTCCAACTACAGCGAGGGGCACTGAGCAAGGATCTGGCTGCTGCTCTGAGATCCATCGCTCTGAGGCCAATCTTCCCACCGCCTCTGCCAACCATGCCTGTGTGAAGCGGGGATACCAAGGTGGGACTGCTCTGAGGACTGACTTTGGAGTGATGACTCCCCCATGGCCTCGGCCAGCACTTCTGTAGGCTATGTGGGGGTCTAGATGCTCCCAGGCAGCTGCCCCACCTCTCCGCGAGCTCTCCCAGCCTTCCTGCTCCCTGCATTCCTATTTTGCACCAATATCCTCTCCCATGTAATCCTTGGTGTGCTTCTCGGTGGACCTGGTGACACCATCATTTGTGACACACGTTGTTGGTTAAGGACTTTTTCGGGGGCAAAACACACATCTAGATGTAAGATGTCCACCAATTCCCCAATCACTCAAAGGTGAGGAACGTGCAGGTCCTTCTGCCTGGAATTCGGTTCCCTCTCCCAGCCCTTTACACCGCAAGCACATCCGCTTCCTTACACTCTGGAGTCCTGCCTCACTTCTTCCAGGACACTTTCCCCAAGTCCCCATCTAGGGCAGGGACTAAGAAATGTGGATCATCTCAGAGGTGTGTTGGCACCTTCCAGGCTACAAAACCCATGCACAGGACTGGCTTCCCAGCATCCTCACGGCATCCCCTGGAGGCTGGCTTGGATCCAAGGCATTTTCACAGATGAGGAAACTGAGGCTCAGAGAAACCAGGTGACTTGCTGAAAGGTAGATGTGAGACTCGAATCTGGGTCTCTTGCTTTGATATCACAAAGGCCTCCTGTCCTAGTGCCTGCTCTTGACAGCCCCAGCAGGTGCAGATGGTGTCCATGGCACCCAGGAAAGCCAGGGTCCTGGATATAGACCAAGGGGCCTAGTCTGGTTCAGTTCTTTCTAATGCATGGAAGCCCTGTCTCTTCCTGGTCTCTCCCCCAGAATTTTCTTTTTTCCTTTTTTCTTTTTTTGAGACAGAATCTGGCTCTGTTGCCCAGGCTGGAGTGCAGTGGCGTGATCTCAGCTCATTGCAATCTCTGCCTCCCATGTTCAAGCTATGTTCCTGACTCAGCCTCCCGAGTAGCTGGGATTCCAGGTGTGTGCGACCACGCCTGGGTAATTTTTGTATTTATTTATTTTTTTTGTGCTGTTGCCCAGGCCGGAGTGCAGTGAGACGATCTCGGCTCACTGTAACCTCCGCCTCCTGAGTTCAAGCAACATTCCTGCCTCAGCCTACTGAGTAGCTGAGATTACAGATGCGCGCCATCACACCCAGCTAATTTTTATATTTTTGGTAGAGATGGGGTTTCACCATGTTGGCCAAGCTGGTCTTGAACTCCTGACCTCAGGTGATCCACCCACCTTGGCCTCCGAAAGTGCTGGGATTACAGGCATGAGCTACTGCGCCCGGCCAAATTTCTGTATTTTTAATAGAGTTGGGGTTTCACCATGTTGGTCAGGCTGGTCTCGAACTCCTGACCTCAGGTGATCTGCCTGCTTTGGCCTCCCAAAATGCTGGGATTATAGGCATGAGTTATCGTGCCTGGTCGCTCCCCCAGATTTTTCTGCCAGTATCTGCTTGGCCCTTGCTCTCTGCTGGGAAGCAGAGGGATCAAGAGTGTGGACCTCAAGGTTAGGTATCCCTGGAGTCTGCTAATCTATACTTGCTTCTTGGGATTGCTGTATGACTTTGGCAAGTGACTCTACCTCTCTGTGCCTCACCATAAATGTAGCAACCTCATGGGGCTGTGGTAAGGATGCATGTAAAATGCTCCACATGGCACCAGACACTTGGTTAGCTCAGAGTAAGCAGAAGCCCTCACTTCTTTCTGAGCTCCAGTCACATTGGCTTCTTCTTACCTTCCCACCTCAGACCCTTTGCACGAGAACCTTTGCCAGGAACACCCTCCCCTGACCTACCCCTTTCAGCTAGTAAACACTTACTTGCCTTCCATAGTACAACTCAAATGTCACTTCTTCCAGGAAGCCCTCCTCGACTAACCTGTCCTCTGATATGAACTGCCTACACCTTTCCTTCACGGTACCCACTGCAGTTCTAATGCATGTTTATTTGCAGGTTCACCTAATTAACACCCACTGGACTGCAAACTCGACAAGGCAAGGCCAGACTGCATGTTTTTGCACTCCCTTCCACCCCTACCCTGCTGGAATTCTTCTACCTACCATGAAGTATGACCCACAGTCCAACCCAACAAAGATCTGCTGATGGAAGAAACGGGGCAATGCCTGTACATGGGGCCTTCAGGTCCGGCTGGAACAAGGCGGCTTCCCTGTTTTACTCTGCTGTGGCCTGTTTGTTTAGGTGGCAGGGGCTTGGACAATGGGCGTCCATGCCGAGGTAAGCAGGTGCGCGGGAAGGCGGCGGTGGCTTTCATCTGCCGGCAGCCCCCACGCCCCGTCATTAGGCAGGGCCTGCGCAGCAGGGTATGCCATTATGTCTCCCCGGGCTGATGTAATTATACATTGACATAATTAACCCAGCAAGCGCATTAGGCAGGCCAGCTAAAAATTCATCTATAATTATTTGTTGTGTGCATGCTAATGAGTCCATCTGCACTGCCTTTGTACAACACGAACAAATTAATTTACAAGTCTGGATTTTTTAATAAGTTCAAGGAAACGCTTCCTATTGTGTCCCGGTTTTTGAGACAGGAGGAAAAAAGGCAACGAGCACTCGCCGGGGTCAGGGAAGTTAGACAAACACAAGACGGTGCGGTGCCACGCGGACTGCGCAGGGCCACGGAGGGCTTGCTCCGGTTCCAAGGAGGGGGAGGATCCGGCTCGTGGCCCAGGGGCCCTGCTGGCCATGAGCCCATTGAGCCAAACGACTATACTTGGTGATAAAGGATGTCTGTCACTCACCCTGTTCGCAGGGATTAGGTATTGACATTTCGTTCTACTCCGAGGCCCTCTGGGTCATTCCTTGCTGGCTGTGTGCTCTGTCTTGGGGAGGCTGGCCTCAGGTGGCTCCCCAGAGAGGCTGGTGGGAACAGGGGCTGGCTGGACCTTTGATTCAGGTCCATAGATTTCAAAGCTCTGTCTTTTTGCCTTCCTTTGCAGGTACAGTGTAAAACAGTCATTAAGCTCACAGAATCCAAAGTCCAGCTCAGGGTCCAGATCCCATGGGGCCTGGAGCCTCAGTTTCTCCACTTATAACCTGGAAACTTCCTAATTCCCAGGAATTATTATTATTGTTATTATTTAGAGACAAGGTCTTGCTCTGTTGCCCAGGCTGGAGTGCCAAGGCTCGATCTTGGCTCACTGCAACCTCTGCCTCCTGGGTTCAAGCGATTCTCCTGCCTTAGCCTCCCGAGTAGCTGGGACTACAGCTACCACCATGCCAGGCTAATTTTTGTATCTTCAGTAGAGATGGGGTTTCATCATGTTGGCCAGGCTGGTCTCAAACTCCCAATCTCAGGTGATCCACCTGCCTTGGCCTCCCAATGCGCTAGAATTACAGGTATGAGCCACTGCGCCTGGCCACTAATTTTTTAATTTTTGTAGAGATAGGGTCTTGCTATGTTGCCCAGACTGGTCTCAAACCCCTGCCTAAAGTGATCCTCCTGCCTTGGCTTCCTAGGCTTGCTAGGATTACAGGTGTGAGCCACCACACCTGGCCTTCCCAGGAATTCTTATTGGGAAGATTTAAAAAAGATATTGAGAGAGGCAGTAGTGATTTAGGGATCGGGTGTCAGCTCTTACTGCAACTGGCCAAGCTAACCTCTTGGAGCCTCTGTTTCCTCATCTGTAAAATGGGGGTGCATGTGTAGGGTGGTTAAGGACTGGGGGAGAGAAGGTGTGCAGAGAACTGCATAGTGCCAGGCACAGGGTGGGCCTTGCTAGGCGTTGTGTGCTTTCATCACCCCTAGACAAGGCAGCACACCAGGTGCTGGCATTCTGGGCGCTGGCTGTCTGGGCAGATATGCTCTGTGGAACTCGGGACAGGGTATGGCTTCACCTGTATGCATCAGTCCCTCAGAGACCCAGAGTCTAATAATCCTGCTTTGAGCTAACTCTACTCTGAGACCCAAAGATTCAAGCTTAGAAAGTCACACTGGGGAGGGATCTATCAGATCAATCTGGCCAACATCCCTTCCACCCCAGGACACAGTGGGGTCTGATATTATCCCTGAAATCCGCTGGAGAGTTGGTGGCAGGCTGAGATGGGCCCTTAGACCTCTTCCTCTCACACTGTGCTGCCCCGGATTCCCCAACTTGAGGGAGAAGGTGGCGGTGACATCCAGATGCCTTGGCCAAAGTCGGGCTGCAACGGAGTCCTAACGGCCAAGGCCCTTTCCACGGATTAGAATTCATTCAGTCTTCACCACAACACGGAGGCAGGCACTGCTGGATCCCGATTTCCCACACGGAAAAATGGAGGCACTGGGGTGAAGTCATTTCCCCAGGGTGAGGCAGGGAGGGCTGGGCTGCCATCCAGGGACACTGGCCCTGCTTGGCAGAATGGGGTGCTTGAGAGAACTTGCTGGCTCTAAGCAGGGGCACATCAGAGTCCCCTGAGGAATTTGTCAAACATCTCAGGGACTCAGTCCTAAAGATTCTCACATGTGTCAATCTTAGTCCTTTCAGGGAGCAGGTGGGGTGGTTCATGGCTCGGCCGTTAGACCTTCTAACTAATGGGTGATTTCCATTCTCTCTTAGATACAATGGAGCTGTCAATTAAGATGCCCCGCCTTCCCCTGGCAGAGGGTCAGATGCTCTGCCCTGGGAATTTGAATGAATCCCTCAGCCGGCCCAGCTACTCACTGCTCTGGTCCCATCTGACCCAGGTGGTCTCACCATTCTCCCCCACCTTCTGCCTTCTAATAAATTCCTTTCGTGCCTGATAGTTTTGCAGAGCTGGCTTCTGCTGCATGACACTAAAGAACCCTGATGGATACATGTGATGAGTGATTTTGGGCCAAAGGAGACCTAAGATACAGGTTCATTTCAAGACTGGGTAAAAATTGGGCCTAATAATAAAGAGACTGAGGACTGAATGCTCAGGAGGGTGCAGGGCCAGGTGTACCCTGGGCTTTCCCGGACGTCGTCACAGGTTTGGGGGAGAAAGGAAACCCTGTGGCTTAGACAGGGCTGGTGCAGGGCAGCCTGGCCAGGAAGCAACCAGGAGGGGTGGACTCCTGCAGTGCGCCTCCAGGAAGGAAAGAGGAGGAAACAGGCTCTAAGGTTTGTCTTGTTTGCTGACACACAGTAGGTGCCTCATAAACATCTGCTCACTAACTGAGACAATGAGAGGTTGGCGAAGAGACCAGAGGCCCTTCCGAGCTGCACGAGGTGAAAGCGTCACTTGAGCAGAGGTTTGATTAGAGCGAGAGCAAGAAGCGGGAGGTGAGCTCAAAGTGCGGCTCTGTAGGCAGAGCCATCTGGGTTAGAATCCCATCTCTGCCACTTACTCATTGTGCGGTCTTAAGTAAGCATTTCAGCCCTTTAAGCTTCAGTTTTCCCTTCTGTAAAATGGTGACACTAACTGCATCTACCAAGGTTACTATGAAGATGTGAAACCTAAGTTTTGTAAAGCAGTTAACACAGTGCCTGGTACACCTAAGTGCTCAGTAAAGAACAATGGGCTGATTCCCAGGGAGGCCAGAAGGGACCAATGCTCGTGTCCAAGCTTTGCTGTGCTCCTGCCCGGCCTTGTCTCCTGGACCAGGCTGCTTTGAGACGGAGCATGAGGGCCCTGGCTTCTTACTATTAGACCAGGAGCACAAGTCGTATGGCTGCCCTCGGTCCTGCTGCTGGCCTGCTGTGTGACCCTGGACAATGCACTGAATTCTCTGGTTCCCCTGTCCAAATGCCCATTACAATATATCCTAGGCATGCACTCAACATTAGGTGTCATCAGATAGAGGCAGGATCCCATGGAGGCGGGTGCTTTGGCCCTGGGTCTATCCCTTACAGCTGGGATGATCAGGGAGGGTGATTATGAGACACCCTCAGGGTTGAACTTGATGCAAGAGATACGCAAGGGATTTAGTAGGGAAAGGCCCACAAAAGAAAGAGGGGAAGGAGAGAGAGGAGGCAGGGTGCTGGTCTGATGCCTGAGAAAGGAGGGAAGGAGGAGGGAGGATTGGACAGGATGAGCCTCGGACTGCAGCACGACTCTGACAAAGTCTCGGCCAGGCTGGTGGGGAGTTTCAGAGCATGGTGTATTGGTCAGCTCCAGCTGCCATTAAAAACATACCACAGGCTGGGCACCATGGCTCACGCCTGTAATCCCAGCACTTTAGGAGGCTGAGGTGGGCAGACTGTCTGAAGTCAGGAGTTTGAGACCAGCCTGACCAACATGGTGAAACCCCTCTCTACTAAAAATACAGAAATTGGGGAACACTGACTTCCCCAAATCCCCAAAGACACGCTTAGAGAAAGGGAAATGAAGCCAGGCTGGGAGGCTGGAGGTCAAACCCTGGCTGTAACATCACCAGGGAAAGTCACTTAGCGTCCCCAAGCCTCAGTTTCCCCATTAGTAAAAGGGAGATAACAAAAGGACCTACGGCATGGGGTTATGCTGGGGTTATCTGAGCACGCCGAGCTCCCGCTTCAGTGCCCGTCATCTGTGGACTCCAAATGAGTGCTGCTCTTATTATTATGACTCGTGGCAGCTGTGGAAGGTGCCACTCAGAGCTCCCTTCAAGAGAAAACCTCCCTCGAGGCATTGGTGACACCTTCCAGGTGTGGCATCTTCCAATGGCTGAGCACGGCGGGGGTAGTCCTGCCCGATGCTGGAACAGACGGTTGTACCATGGACTGAACTGTGACCCTGTCTGCTGCAGACCCACATCCTGAAGGCCTAACCTGCCCCCCATGTGACTACATTTGGGGATAGGTTTTTTTTTTTTAAGACAAGAGTCTCACTCCATCACCCAGGCTGGAGTACAGTGGCGCGATCTTGGCTCACTGCAACCTCTGCCTCCTGGGTTCAAGTGATTCTCCCACCTCAGCCTCCAGAGTAGATGAGATTACAGGCATGCGCCACCACACCTGGCTAATTTTTTTTTTGTATTTTTAGTAGAGACAGGGTTTCACCATGTTGGCCAGGCTGGTGTCTAACTCCTGACCTCAAGTGATCCGCCTGTCTCGGCCTTCCAAAGTGCTGGGATTACAGACGTGAGCCACCACACCCGACCTATGGTATCCTCTAGATTGTCAGAAGCATCCCTGACTTTCTGAACAGCCTTTGGTGGGGGGAGGTGCGGACATTAATTTAAATGACCCATTGACCATTCCTTTTTCTGTGCACCAATAGAGGGAAGGCTGTGTGAGGATACAGTAAGAAGGCAGCTGTCTGCAAGCCAGGAAGGGAGGTTCTACTGGAAACCAACCCTGAAGGCACCTTGATCTTGGACTTCCAGCCTACCCCACCGTGGGGAAGTAAATTTCTTGCGTTTAAGCCTCCTGTTCTGTGTGATTTTTTTTTTTTTTTTTTTTTTTTAGATGGAGTTTCACGCTTGTTGCCCAGGCTGGAGTGTAATGGTGTGATCTCAGCTCACTGCAACCTACGCCTCTTGGGTTCAAGTGATTCTCCTGCCCCAGCCTCCTGAGTAGCTGGGACTACAGGCGCAGGCCACCACACCTGACTAATTTTGTATTTTTAGGAGAGACGGGGTTTCACCATATTGGTCAGGCTGGTCTCAAACTCCTGACCTCAGGCAATCTGCCTGCCTTGGCTTCCCAAAGTGCTGGGATTACAGGCGTGAGCCAAGGCGCACGGCCTGTGGTATTTTTTTTTTTTTTTTGAGATGGGGTTTCGCTCTGTCGCCCAGGCTGGAGTGCAGTGGCACGATCTTGGCTCACTGCAAGCTCTGCCTCCCAGGTTCACACCATTCTCCTGCCTCAGCCTCCCAAGTAGCTGGGGCTACAGGCGCCCACCACCTCGCCCAGCTAATTTTTTTGTATTTTTAGTAGAGACGGGGTTTCACCGTGTTAGCCAGGATGGTCTCCATCTCCTGACCTCGTGATCCACCTGCCTCAGCCTCCCAAAGCGCTGGGATTACAGGTGTGAGCCACCACACCCGGCCTGTGGTATGTTTTTAATGGTAGCTGGAGCTGACCAATACACCTTGCTCTGAAACTCCCCACCACCCTGGCCAAGATTTTCTCAGAGCCGTGCTGCAGTCCGAGGCTCACCCTGGCTAATCCTCCCTCCTCCTTCCCTTCTTTCTCAGGCATCAGACCAGCATCCCGCCTCCTCCTTCTCTCTCCCCTCTTTCCTTCACGGGCCTTCCCCTAATAAATCCCTTGCATATCTAAAGCTGTCTTGGCATCTGCCTCCTGGAGAACCCAAATCACTTGCTTCTCAGAGCCTCAGTTTCCCCATCTGTAAAACAAGGACAAACACAGACCCTCCCCCTAGGAGTCTGTGGATATGAAATCTGTGACTGGTGCTGGTGCATTTCTGCAGTGATGAGTCTGAAGCTGGCAGAGATCCTCAGGGCACCTGAGTCCTTGCGCCTGCTTCACTCAGCCCGTTTATTGAGCGTCTGTGGGAGGCATGATGGTGAGTGAGATAAATGAGACCCTTGTCTTTGTGCAGCCGACTTCCCAGTGGGGGAGACAGATGCTGCTCCTTTGCAAAGGTGCTCAGTGGGACCATAGAGAATGTTTCCATCAACACCGACCCTGGGGGGATCTCGACTCACCTTAGGGAGGAGATTGGGAAAGACCTCAGTGACATGGAACTAGGGGTGCTGCTGAGAAGCAGGGAAGATCTGTGGGAGAGAGGTCTAGGTGGGAGGCACCGCTTGTGCAAAAGGCTGGTGGCTGGAAGGAATCTGTGCAAAGCTCAGTGGCATCTGAGGACAAGACACCAGGTCCCAGTGGCTGGAGTGGAGTTGGGGGAGATGGGGGGGACAGGTGGCACGTAGATGCCAAAGCCCCTCTGTTGATAATGTAGATGAGGGTTGGGATTTATCCTAAGGGCAGTGGGAGGACACATTCTAATTTGCCTTTTTCAAAGGCTCATCTGGCTGCTCTGTGAAAAGTGGCGTGTAGAGGGCGTCAGATAGGCGGCTACTGCAAGAGTCCTGGCAGCCATGATGATGGCTGTGGTCACAGTGGTGGCAGAAGTGGGAGCAGCACTCAGATTCAAGAGTTACACAGGAAATGTTGGTGGGACCTGGTGCACTGAGCTGAACAGTGTTTCCCCAAGTTCATGTGAATTTGGAACATCAGAATGTGACCCTATTTGGAAATAGGGTCTTTGCAGATGTCATCAAGTCAAGATGAGATCATATTGGAGTAGGTTGGATTCTAATGCAATGATTGGAGTCCTCAGGAGAAGAAGAGAGGATGCACAGAGCCACACAGGGAAGGAGGCCATGTGAAGATGGACGCTGAGATGGAAATGACACATCTAGAAGCCGAGGAGTGCCAAGGATTGCTGGCAGCCCCAGAAGCTGGGAGAGAGGCGTGTGACACCCCTGCAGAGTCTCCAGAAGGAACTAACTCTGCCGACATCTTGATGTGGGGCTTCTGGATTCCGCAGCTGAAAGAAAACATTTGTTGCTTTAAACCACCCAGTTTGTGGTAATGGGGCACAGCAGCCAGAGGAATCTGCTCTGCTGTGTTTTGGAGGCTGGAGGTCCAAAATCCAGGTGTCAGTAGGGCCATGCTCTCTCCAAGGCTCTAGGGGAGACCTGGGCCTTTCCCCCAGCTTCTGGTGTCACTGGCAATCTGGCTTTCCTTGGCTTGCAGCTGCATGACTTCGATCTCAGCCTTCGTTGTCATGTGACCTTCTGTCTCTCCCTGATTCTTATTTATTTATTTATTTGAGACAGAGTCTTGCTCTGTCACCCAGGCTGGAGTAGGGTAGCGCGATCTTGGCTCACTGCAACCTCCGTCTCCCGGGTTCAAGCGATTCTCCTGCCTCAGACTCCCAAGTAGCTGAGATTACAGGCGTAAGCCACGATGCCCAGCTAGTTTTTGTATTTTATTTTTAGTAGAGATGGGGTTTCGCCATGTTCGTCAGGCTGGTCTTGAACTCCTGACTTCAAGTGATCCATCCACCTCAGCCTCCCAAAGTGCTGGGATTATAGGCACGAGCCACTGCGCCTGGTCCTTGTTTGTTTGTTTATTTTTGAGACGGAGTCTCGCTCTTTCGCCAGGCTGGAGTGCAGTGGCGCAATCTCGGCTCACTGCAACCTCCACTTCCCGGGTTCAAGTGATTCTCCTGCCTCAGCCTCCCGAGTAGCTGGGACTAAAGGCATGTGCCACCACACCCAGCTAATTTTTGTATCTTTAATAGAGAAGGGGTTTCACCATGTTGGCCAGGATGGTCTCGATCTCTTGACCTTGCGATCTGCTGGCCTTGGCCTTCCAAAGTGCTGGGATTACAGGCATGAGCCACCGAGCCCAGCTCCTTGTTTATTTTTGAGATGGGGTCTTGCTCTGTTGCCCAGACTGGAGGGCAGTGCCATGATCACAGCTCACTGTGGTGCCAAACTCCTGGGTTCCAGCAATCCTTCCATCTTGGCCTCCCAAAGTGCTGGGATTTTAGGCATGAGCCACCACACCTGGCCTCTCCTCTTCTTCTGAGGACATCAGTCATACTGGATTAGAGGCCACTCTAATGACCTAATCTTACCTTGATTATATCCTGCAAAGATGCTTTTTCCAAATGAGGCCACATTTAGAGGTAGTGGTGGTTAGGACTTCAACATATCTTTCTGGAGGACACAATTCAAACCATAACATGTGGCAATGGACTCAATACAAACTGTGAGACAGGCAGGACCGAGGAACTGCCAAGGCTCCAAGTCTCATAGGAAGGAAGTCCTCACTCAAGTCTAACCTACTTCTCTCCTGCTATACCCATTTCATTTGCCTTTCAGGGAGACAAGCCCATGCCATAAGGGGACCTGACAGTTCCTAGGCACTGGTCCTCCTGCCTCCTCATTCTCTCCGACTCCTGAGGAACTGGGCTGTGGGTTCAGTTGGCTGCTCTAGAAAGTACACAGCTACGATGATCATTTACTTCCCTGGGTATTTTCCACTCCTTGTTTCCTCCCCCAGCGCACAGTGCTGTGTTCCCAGATTTTACATTGTACAGGGAACTCATTTCTTCCCACCTTCCCTATCTGGCAGGAATTCATGGAGCCCTGAGCTACCTTGCTGGGAGCTGGGGTAGGGAGGAAAAAATTACTAACATCCAGACAATTACAGGATTCTGCCAACTTCTATGGAGGAGAATGCTCTGCCGGGCAGCTTGGCAAACCTGAGGGCCTCCCGTTTACTTTGTCCAATGGTATTATTCGATGCATCAGCTAAATGTCACTGGCTGCTCTTACAAACACAAATTGAAAGAGAGAGAAATGACAAAAAATCTTTAAAATGTTTGGAAAACGTTTCTCAGAGAACCTGACAGCCATGGAACACCAAGGGAATCTTGTTTTTCATTCCCGAGTCTTCCCTTCCTTCCCTGGGTCCTGCTCTGGCTCTTCACATAGTAGGTGCTCAATTAACGTGGGTTGTTTGAAATGTGTGATAAGTGATGAAATTATTAGAGCTCTGGGTGAGAGGGTAGGGCGCCACAGAGTTTGAGAGTTTTCCATGGGGGCATCTCTGTGGCAGGCAGAATAATGGCTCCTCAAAGACATCTTGACCCTCAGAACCTGTGAGTGTTTTTTGTTGTTCTTTTTAGAGACAGGGTCTTGCTCTGTCGCCCAGGCCACAGTGCAGTGGCACAATCACGGCTCACTGCAGCCTCGACTTCCTGGGCTCAAGCGATCAATCCTTCTGTCTCAGCCTCTGGAGTAGCTGGGGGCCACAGGCACATGCCATCACGTCCAGATAATTTTTTAATTTTTGTAGAGATGGGGTCTTACTATGTTGCCCAGGCTGGTCTCAAACTCCTGGGCTCAGGTGATCCTCCCACCTCAGCCTCCCAAAGTTCTGGGATTACAGGTGTGAGCCACCACGTCCTGCCCGTGAGTGTTATGTTACATGGAACAGGGACTGAAGGTTGCAGATGGAAGGGGATCACAGTCAGAGATTGACTGAAGAGGCTGCCCGGCTGGCTTTGAAGATGGAAGAAGAGGCCATGAGCCAAGGAACATAGGCAGCCCCAGCCCGAGAAGGTGGAAAAGACAAGGAAATGACTTCTCCCCTGCAGCCTCCTGCTTTCAGAAACAACCCGGCCCTGCGAATGCTTTGATTGTTGCCCAGTGAGACCCATCTTGGACTTCTGTTCTGCAGAACGGTGAGATCATAAACGTGTGTTGTTTTAAGCCTCTAAGCTCATGGTATTTGTTACAGCCGTGACAGGTGACTAAGAGTCCCTAATGCAGTCGTCATTTAGCCACCAGTCCACTACGTGTTGACAGCATTTCTTCAGTTGCCAAATATTTCCCGAGTGCCTGCTGTGTGTCAGGGAAAGCTCTGGGCCGTGGAGGTCCAGCAGGAAATGATAGAAAATTCCTGCCCTCCTGGGGCTGACACTCTAGAGGGAATGATGGACAAAGGATGGGTGAGGCAACTGGAGTGAGATGGGCTCAGAAGCAAAATGAAGCAGGGCTGGGGGAGAGGGTGGGCTGGGTGGCGCTAAATGGGCAGCCTGGTGAGGGGAGTGGTGTCTCCGCGGAGCCCTAATGAGGCAGCTAGCAGGGGGGTCGCGGGGGAGTATACTAGACACAGGAAATACCAGGAGAAACGGCTTGCATCAGATAAGGAAATGGCAGCTGACCGTCCTACTAACCTCCCCTGGGGTTACCGTCCCAGAAATACAACTTTGCTCCATCTTCATAACGACCAACCCATTTCACAGATGGGGATGTGGGGCTGGCCCAGGGGACGCCCAGTGCCAATCTCCTTTCCCCTCCCTGCGCAGGCTGGGAGGGCGGGGTGCTATGGCCGAGGGTGGCAGCTGGGTTCAGAGTGGGCTGCGGCCCTCCATATGTGAGTTTCTGGGCTTCATCCCTCAAACTCCAGCAACCATTCATCCTGGGGCAGATGGGGCCCCCACATCCACAAGGTTGGGTAGGGCAGGGGGCAGATGAGACCCCCACCTGATATCCTGAGCCAAGAGCTCAGAGGAACTGGAATTTCTTGACCGCACCTCCAACAAGTGCCAGCACTTTGCATATCTCTATATCTCACTTAAAATATGGAAACAACTGGCCGGGTGCGGTGGCTCACGCCTGTAATCCCAGCACTTTGGGAGGCCAAGGCGGGCAGATCACGAGGTCTAGGAGTTCGAGACTAGCCTAGCCAATATGGTGACACCCCGTCTCTACTAAAAATACAAAAATTAGCCGGGCATGGTGGCTCGCGCCTGTAGTCCCAGCTACTCGGGAGGCTGAGGCAGAAGAATCGCCTGAACCCAGGAGGTTGCAGTGAGCCGAGATGGTGCCACTGCACTCCAGCCTGGGCAACAGAGTGAGGCTCCGTCTCAAAACAAAACAAAACAAAACAAAACAAACAAACAAACAAACAAAAAGGAAACAACTACGTGAGCTATCACTATCACCCCCCTTTTCCAGATGAGAACACTGAGGCCTAGCCGAGGGAACCCACTTGCTCAAGGTCACTAGGCAAGAAAAAGTCAGAGGTGGATTTGAACCCAGGCCTTTCCACCAAGCCAATGCGACCCAAATGCCAGACTCTGGTGTATTCCCTTTATAACTTCTGCTGTGTCCATATGCCTCCGAAAGATGATTAACTTGACATCTGCCCTATGTGACTCACTTTTTATTTATTTTTATTTTGAGACAGCATTTTCACACTGTCATCCAGGCTGGAGTACAGTGGTGCAATCCTGGCAGCTCACTGCAGCCTCGACCCCTTGGGCTCATGTGATCCTCCCACCTCAGCCTCCCCAAGTAGCTAGGACTACAGGCACGCGTCACCATGCCCAGCTATTTTTAAAATTTTTTGTAGAGACAGAGTCTTGCTGTGTTGCCCAGGCTGGTCTCAAACTCCTGGACTCAAGCAATCCTCCCGCCTCAGCCTTCCAAAGTGCTTTGATTACAGGCATGAGCTAGTGTGCCCGGGCTGACTCACTTTTTAAAAATATATATATTTTAAAGTAATGTTTTATCTCACTTTCATAAATAGAAAATCGGGATCTTGTATCATAAGTAGAAGGTGCTTCAACCATAAAAATAAAGGCAAGGAGAAAAACAAAACAAAACAGAAAATGGATGTTACTGAATCTGAATTTTCGTTAGACCCTGTGGCCTGCCCAAGACCTTGAGCCTGGGCCGCCTCTCCTGAGGTTCAAAGGGGAGAGCTGGTGGCGTGGAGGTGTTGAAGATGCTCCAGTACCTGGCTGAGGCTTTACTCAGAGGGGAGCAGAAAGGTGGCACCCGCACATCCTGCAATGTGTTCAAAGTTTCAGTCTTGGGTCCGGGTACACCCAGGCTGTCTCCAGTATCATGTGGACTCCGCACTTGGGGAAATACTAGGTGCTGCCAAGCCCCCGACCTCTAAAATCATGCCCCCACTCCAGCATCTGGCAAGCCTGGTATCCTAGTGTCAGGAGAAGTGACAGGGCATCCGTGCAGCTCCTTGCCTGGAGCCAGCGATGCAGGTTTCTGTTGGGCTCAGCACTTCTCCCGGAAGCCTTCCAGCCGACACATGCGGCTGCCCAGAGCTGCCAGCCCCACGCAGGGGTGTGAGCGGGACTTCATTTCCCTACTCACTCCCACAATACACAGATGGTCAATAGACAGACCAGGGCAGTGGCCACGATGATCAAACAGCCTCAGATCCAACCTGGATGTACAGACCCCAAATCTAAAGTGTTTAAATACAACAGACCCTTCTGATGAGCTGATGAGTGGCAGACTTGGATCCACTATGAGCCATCAGAGATGGCAGGTCCTGATGGGCGTGCAGGGATGGGGGACACCGTGGGGAAGTGTACCCGCCTTTGTCCGACACACATCAACCTGCTCTGGGGCACAAACTACTTAGTAAAATGGCTAATTCATTTGGTTACATGGGATCCAAACCCATAGAGAACACAGTCAAAGGACTGATAATATCTGAAGACCACACCAGGCTTTCTAAAGGCACTGTCAGGGAGGTGGGTACAACTTCGCCTATTCCATCTTTCACCACTAGCTGATGCTATTGGTGGTTTTTTTTTGTTTTTTTGTTTTTTTTTTTTGAATCATGGAGGGGGTTGGGGAATCTAGAGCTGTCTCTATCCTCCCACTATGTCCATCTGAAGGAAAGTGGCATTTGGAGCTTTTTTAGGAAACACAGAGCCGGAAAGGCTGTCCGAGAGGCTGTTTAGAAACACATTTATGCAGAAGTATGCGTGCACCCCTCCAAAATATCTTCGAGACAGAAGCCTTCTCCCATCTGGGCCCAGGCTCCGGGCGCCTGCGGGGGTGGGAGGCTCAGGCTATTGATGGTGGCAGCGAGACTAACTTTGATCCTTTAATCTAAACTTTTCAATAGCAGATGGGGTGCCAAGCCTTTATATGCAGCTGTGAGCCATGTGTCTACCCACTCCTTTCTTGGGGCAGTTGGCAGTGGGGCTGGCGGGGGGTTCCTCCTGGCTTGGACAGGGACAGAGGGCTGGGAATGAGGGTCTTCTTTCTTGGCACTGGGTGCTGATGGTAATAATAATACCACCACCACCAGCACCAACAGCAGCAGCCACTGTTTACTGAGCATTTACTATGTGCCAGACACCCAGCTAAGGACTTTACAGTCCTCACCTTACTCAGCCCTCCCAGTGGCACTGGGAGGTAAGTCTGCTTTCCAAAGGAGGAAACAGCTGCTCAGAGAGGTTGGCTGAGCCAGTTACTCAAGGCCACCCAGCCAGGGAATAGCACAGCCAGGACTCAAACCCACATGCCTTACAATAAAAATAAAGTTCTTCACCAGGCGCGGTAGCTCATGCCTGTAATCTCAGCACTTTGGGAGGCCGAGGTGGGTAGATCATCTGAGGTCAGCAGTTCAAGGCCAGCCTGGCCTATGGTGAAATCCCGTCTCTACTAAAAATATAAAAAACAAAAAACACCCAACAAAAAAACCCCCAAAAACAACAACAAAAAATCAAGTTCTTATATACTGAGCTGTACAGAAAGTTCCAGGAGGGCAGGGGTGGTGTCTGTTTTGCTCAACATTGTGCCCCTGTTGCTGACAGAGTGCCTGGCAAACAGTAGGCACTCAATATTTACTGAATGAATTGCATGGGGCAATGACTGCTGGGCACCATGTTTAGTGTTCTCTGTTGCTCACTGAACCCATCCAATGGCCCTTATAATGAGGGGAGGTCATTATCCACATTTTACATTGGGGAAACTGAGGCTCGGAGAAGTCAAGTGTGATGTGGGAAGCAAAATGGCAGCACAGGATTGGCCTGGCTCTGCAGGGAGGTTCTTCAACCTGGAGTCTTGCTCCTTTCTTCCTCCACTTGCCAGGTTGGGAGCTGTGTGACTGTCTCCCCAGAATGAAAGTTCCACTTGTTCTTCCTCGAGCACACATCTGCATTTCAGCAAAGGCTTCATCCTTCCAGCCTGGAACTTTTCAATCTACTGGCAGCAAAGACCCTTTAACTGTTTTTCACTCTTTTTAGAGCTCAAATCTCCAGTGGTTTTGTCCAAGCTCCTTGGATTTTTAAATTCCTCTTGCAACTGGGGTAGTGGGTAGGAGCTGGGTCGGGGCGGGTCTAGATTCAGGCTCCGTCACTTCTCTGCTGTGTGACCTTGGGCAAGTGGCTTGAATTATCTGAGCCTGTACTTCTTCAGCTTCCCAGTGAGGAAGGATGATGGAACCTACCTCCCAGGGTATGGGTGTGTGTGGAATCAGTGAATTTGTATCTGTAAGGGCCGAACACACTGCCTGACACACAGAAAGTACCCCAGAAATGACCTCCACATGGTGGCACTTCAACCTTTAAAACCAGGTCCAAAGGCCTCCCTCTCTGAGGCCTCTGCCAGCCATCCTTCCTTGAAGCCTGCTTTCTGTTGTGTATTCTGGTTGTCTGTCTTTGGGTCATGTTGTCCTTGCTGAACCCGAGAGTCTCCAAGGGCAGGCCTGGACTTGAGCTTGAGTTCCCACAGGGCTAGGCACATAGCAAGCACTCAGAGCATAAGCTAATGAGACGCCACGGCTCGAATGCCTGTCCTCCCTTCTGAAAGGGACTGGCCTTTACTGAACACCTCCCAGGCAGCAGCACCCGGCTGGATGCTTTCATTCAGTCCGCTCTCCAACCCTGAGCTGCTGGGAGGAGCAAAGTTTAGCCAGGGGGTCATGGGGAAAGGGTGCTCCTGGCTGAGGAAACGGCATGGGCAGAGGTGTGGCAGGAAATGGTGCGACACTGCCTTCTAAAGTTAGCTGTCACCTGGGTGTGGTGGCTCACATCTGTAATCCCAACACTTTGGGAGGCCGAGGCAGGTGGATCACCTGAAGTCGGGAGTTCGATACCAGCCTGACCAACATGGTGAAACCTTGTCTCTACTAAAAATACAAAATTAGCTGGGTGTAGTGGCATGTGCCTGTAATCCCAGCTACTCGGGAGGCTGAGGCATGAGAATTGCTTGAACCCTAGAGGCGGAGGTTGCAGTGAGCTGAGATTGCACCACTGCACTCCAGCCTGTGTGACAGAGTGAGACTACATCTCAGAAAATAATAATAATAATAATAAAGTTAACTGTCATCTTCAGGAAAATTGACATTGTTAAGTTTTTCCTTTTTTAACGGGTGAAATACTGTTTTATGCTAACCTTCAGTGTTCCACTGACCATTATGGGACTAACTGAGCAGAAGCGTGGGCATGGAGGAGGGAGAGGAGGAGGGAAGGAGGGAAGGTTAGCACAGACAACACTTTCTAATCGTAGAAAATCTCTATTTCCTGTAGCTGTGCAGGTGGCTTATCCACTAGATGGCACTGAAACGAGTTATTTGGGACAAAAACAAAGCTAAATGCTTCACCTCCCCTGCTACTTCTATCAATATCTATTATATTTCAGCTGGTTCAAATGTAAATGTTTAAAAATTAAGATCACAAAAGTACTAAAAAAACTCCTTATACCCTTGAGGCGAGAAAGATTTTTAAAAACAGGACCGGATATTCAGAAGCTACAAAGCAAAGATTTGCTAAGATTTCTTGCTTTCTGCAAATATTTTTTTGAATACCTGCTACATACAATAGACAAGAGACATTACACACTAAGTTGAGAAACAAAAGGCAAACCAGGGGAGAATATATGAAACATGTATACCTGGACAAAGGTTAATATCCCCCATATACAAAGAGTGTCTACAAATCAATAAGAAAATAATCTACTCTCTGGTAGAAAAAATCCACTCTCTGGGCTAAGGAGACATAAACCAGAGATTTCTAAAAGTATAAATATGAATGCTTTATAACATATGAAAAGATATTTAGTGAACTAGTAAGTAAAGGACTGCAATATAAAATCAGCAAGGAGAAAAACATTCTTATTCTGGTCACTGATCCTGGGGTTTGTGGTCAATACAAGGCTACAATGTACTTTTCCTTCCCAAATTTTCTTCTTGGTACAGCACAGTACCAATAGGGGATGTGTTCCCAAGCACCTTAACTGTCCAGAGTTGGAGAGGGGTTAGGTAAATTACAATACAGCTATACAAGGGATTGTTAGGCTTGTACAATGAATCAAAGTTACTTGGGATCTGTAATCACACAGGGAAATATGAGTGCTTCATGTCAGATAAAGGAAACAATTCAAAACGGTACATGTAGAATCAGCAACTGTTTTGAAAAAGTACACAGGGAAAAATCACGGAAAAGAAAAACAACAAAATGCTTTTCTAGCTGGTCGTTTTCCCTCTTTCTGTTTCTCTCTATTTTCTGAAGTTGACAGCATGCATATGCTACTTTTATAATCGAGGAGACAAATTTAAAAATTTTAAACGTTGTAGAGCATTTTCCTATTCTATAGGCTCAGGAACCCTGTTGCCTGCACCACTGCTTATCCAATGTCCCTGACAACAGACCGAACCTCGTAGAATCAATAGCAGACGCTTGTCACTCCTATAACTGTTATACCCTGATGTCAATGGGCTGCTGATTACTCAGCCCTGCGGAATGCTTTCATGTACAGCGTAGCGAATCCTCACGTCCACCCCTGAGTAGGTTCTATTACTATCCCTCTTCTAAAGACACAGAAACCAGAGCTCAGAGAGGTTAAAGCCCCTGGCCAAGGTCACACAGCACAAAACACCAAACTGAGAGTTCCACCCAGGTGTGTCAACCTCTATAGCCTGGGCACTGAGCACCTTCCTGATCAGCCTCCCCCCCAAGAGAAGGAGCAAGGTGAGAAATGTCTGCCAGGAATTGCAAATCTGCATCAGATTTGTAAAAACCAAAGCACAGTAGAAAACAACATTTTGGGGCACTCACCTGTCTCTTATCTCCTCAGCAATGTTCATCTGCCTGCCCTCTCATTTCCTCGTTCCTTGTTTTTTTTTTTTTTTTCCTTTTAACTAATCACTCAGTTAACAAGTTAGCCTTCTGAAGCTTGGGTCCGTACCTAGTGACTCTACGAGTGCGATAAAGGAATCAGCCATCACCAATACAGAAGTCAGAGAGGTTTAAATCACATCATCACCCACAACAATGACATTAATTATGCTTTTAACACGTTTTACTGCTTTTTTTTTCTCACTTCACGCCACATCTGTGTGAACAATATCCAAAAGATTTACGGTTTTCTTTCGTAATTACAGACATCCAGGCTGCACACTTATCAAAATACTTGCTGAGCCATCAGGCTCTGTCGTATTCTCTGCCAAAGATCTGTGTTGGCAGCAGTCACTCAAAACAAAAATGTTGAATCAGGACTTGTGTGGCTTCGGGTGGCGGGGAGGAGTATTTCGACAAATAATTTGCCTGTCAAGAAATATAAAAACAGGAGTGTGCGCGTCCCAGCGAATTTTCCAGGAGTGTTATTTTTATGGAGGGGGTTGGAGCTGGGGGGCCGGCAGTGAGCGGGGAAGCTGGAAGCGCCCAACACACATTTGACATTTGGTTCTTGTGTCTGAGGATAAAATTTAATGAGAACAAAAATATGTCTTCCTAATTCCCCTAAGAAATCATTAAAACATTTTGTTATGCTTAAATGTCTCGAAAATGAATTAGAGGCCCTAAAGGGGCTGTTCGTATGGTACGTCTCCATCAGTTAAGGCTCCTTGTTCTCTAAGTCGGTGACAGCTGGGGACAGCTCTCCCGCCCCTGCATTTCTGGGGAGGAGAGTTGGGAAATCAGACTCCTGGAGTCAGCACTGGGCTTGGAATGACCTTCCTGCTCCCGGGCTTTGGGGAAAGAGGAGAGAGGGTATATGGACCTTCCAGAAGGTTCCACAGCAATCTTGGGACCTTGAGTGGCCCCTGGCCTGTGACTGTTTTAACAGTCTTCTCTCCAGAAAGATGAGGGTCCCATAAGAACACCCCCCAAAATGAGGGCTCGTTTCCAAGTGGGGGGCCGTAAGACCCTTCTGTTTCCCTTTGTCTTCCTGCCTGTCTGTACCCCCAAGCACTAGACATGCTGGTGTCCCCCTGTGACTGTGATGACAGGCTATGTGACCGATGATCTGGTCACTTCTGCCACTCAAAGGTAAGCTTCTGAGGGCTGGGCCCATGTCTGTGTTTGTAGGGTCACAGCTGTGTTCCCAGTGTCCAGCAAGTGCCGGGCACACAGTAGGCACTCAATAAATGCTATCTGAGTAAACAACACAAGATGTGCATGGAAGGGGGGTCTCACTGATGAAGTATCTTTTTGCTCCAATAACCTTTCCTCCCGTTTTTGCTGCTGAGTCTTATTTCTAATATTCAACAATTATTAGGTGCCTACTGTGTACCAGGTTCTGGGTATACGAATTTAGTATGATTTAGTCCGAGGCCTGGTGCATTTCACATCTCCTAGGAAAGCTGGACACATATATGATAAGGAGAATAGTTAACACTTAGTAAGCACCTGCTGTATACTGTGAACCTTGATGCCTCCAAATAACAGCACGAGGCAGGTTCTAATATTATTCTCAATTTATGGAAGAGGAGACTGCAGCTCAGGAAGGTGAATTAATTCCTCTGCAGTCACGCAGTAAGTGACACAAACAGGATTTGAATCTGGGTCTTTGAGCCTGAAAGCACACGCATATCTCAGCGCTGCCCCCTCGTGTTACAACTGAGGTACTACGGGGTGCCGTGGGAGAGCGCTGCCTGGGGACCCCTGGGAGGCATCTCTGGGGTCTGTACAGGGTCATCCTCCAGTGTCATTTGTCGCTGACACAGTGGGACCCAAAGGATCGAAAAGGGTGGGAAATAAGAGGGTGTCTTTTTCTAGATATCACTGATGAGAGCGGAGACATTATAAGCAAAAAGGCGGCAAGGAATGGTGCCACTGGGCCTCTTGGCCATGAGTACGTTATGGCCGGCAGTGAGGGTGATAATGACCCCAGCTGCAGACACATGGGCTGTCTCGGCCTCGTGCCATAGCG
Organism: Homo sapiens; assembly: GCF_000001405.40. NCBI lineage: Eukaryota > Metazoa > Chordata > Mammalia > Primates > Hominidae > Homo > Homo sapiens. Next base: position 111,268,623 of record NC_000012.12, on the reverse strand, counting down.
CCATGTCCTCGCAGGGACCACAGCCTGCAGCTGTGCCATCAGCTCTTGCCATTCCTTCCACTCTCATCACTGGGAAAACTCACGTGGCTGGACTGTTCCTGTGAGCGCGGGATGGGGTGGAGCATGGGACCAGGCAGCAGGCACATGTGTACTGGCTGAACGTCCGCCCCAAAAGGATACCTCTGTGTCCTAACGCCTGGAACCTGTGAATGTGACTTTATTCAAAGTGTCTTTGAGCTGGGCATGGTGGCTGCACCTGCAGACCCAGCCATTCGGGAGGCTGAGGTGGGAGGATCACTTGAGCTCAGGAGGTCAAGGCTGCAGTGAGCCAAGATTGCACCACTGTACTTCAACCTGGGAAACAGAGCAAGACCCTGTCTCTTAAAAAAAACAAAAAACAAAAAACAAAAAACAAACAAAAACCAAAGTGTCTTTGCCGATATAATTAAGGATCTTGAGATGAAATCAACCTGGATTATCCAGGTGGCCCCAAAATCTAATGACAAGTGTCATTATAAGAGAAAGGAGGTTGGGTACAGTGGCTTACACCTGTAATCCCAGCTATTCAGGAGGCAGAGGTGGGAGGATCACTTGAGGCCAGGAGTTTGAGACCAGTCTGGGTAACATAGTGAGACTTTGGGACTACAAAAAATAAATTTAAAAAATTAGCTGGGCTTGGGAGGCTGAGGCAGGAAGATTGTTTGAGCCCAGAAGTCTGAGGTTGCAGTGAGCTATGATCACACTACTGCACTCCAGCCTGGGCTTTGTTAAGCAAGACCTCATATATATTTTTTAAAAGGAGAGAGAGAGAGAAAGGAGAGGGAGATTGAGACAAAGATACAGAGGAGACATTGGAGTGATATAGCCATAAGCCAAGGGACACCTGGAGCCACCAGAAGCTGGAAGAAGCCAGGAAGGATCCTCCCCTGAGCCTTCAGAGAAAGTATAGCCCTGTTGACACCTTGATCTTGGGCCTGTGGCCTTCAGAACAGGGACGGAATGAATCTCTGTTGTTTTAAGGCATCCATGGTAATTTATTACAACAGCCGTAGGAAACTAACTCAGCCTTCCACGTGCAGCCAGCTTGTCACACGGAGCAGAGTCTGGAAATATTTGTTATACATGATGAGACCCGAGTCACATCTCTCCCTGCCTGTGAGACCTTGGGCATCGGGCTCAACCTCTCTGTGCCACAGAGAAGCGAGTTGCTTGGACCTGCTCCCATGGGGCGTGTGAAACGCAGAGCACAGAACAAAGGCAACTTCTATATCAGGCCTGTGCGCTCAAACTTTCCCATGCTCCAAGATCACAGGGGAGCTTGATAAAATGCAGAAGCTGATTCTGTGGGCCGGGGATGGGGCCTGAGACTCTGTAGTCCTTCCTTCCTCCCTCCCTCCCTTTCTTTCTTTTTTTTTTTTTTTTTTTTTTGACAGGGTCTTGCTCTGTCACCCAGGCTGGAATGCAGTGGCACAATCTTAGCTCACTGCAACCTCCACCTCCTGGGTTCAAGCAATTCTCCCACCACAGCTTCCCAAGTAGCTAGGACCACAGGCGCCCACGACCATGCCCAGATAATTTTTGTATTTTTTTTGTAGAGACAGGGTTTCTCCATGTTGCCTAGGCTGGTCTCAAACTCCTGGCTTCAAGTGATCCTCCCACCTGGGCCTCCCAAAGTGCTGGCATTACAGGCATGAGCCGCCACCTGCGGCTGAGCCTCTGCATTTCTAACCAGCTTGCAGGTGAGGCTGATGTTTCTGGTCCACAGACCACACTTTGAGTAGCAACAGGCCAGAAGACCTCCCTCTTCATCCAGGCCACACGCTGTCGGAGGGCAAGCTTTGTCAGCATTGCTGGATTAGTGTCCCAGCGCTGCAGTAGAAAAGCACCACCAACTGGGGGCTGAAAACAACAGACACTTATTGTCTTGTAGTTCTGGGGACCATAAGTCCAACATCAAGACACTGGCAGGGCTGTACTCCTTCTGAAGACTCTAGGGAAGGATCCTTCTTGTCTCTCCCAGTTTCTCATGGTTGCTGGCAATCTTTGGTGCTCCTTGCCTTGTAGCTACATCATTTCCACCGTGCCTCTGTTTTTACACAGCTTTCCTCAGTGGCTATCTCTGTACCCTCGTCTCTTTTTTTTTTTTTTTTGTTGAGACAGGGTCTTGCTCTGTCACCCAGGCTGGAGTGCAGTGTTGTGATCTCGGCTCATTGCAACCTCCGCCTCCTGGGTTCAAGCGATTCTCCTGCCTCAGCCTCTTGAGTAGCTGGGAATACAGGCTACCACACCTGGCTAATTTTTGTATTTTTAGTAGACATGGGGTTTCCCCATGTTGACCAGGGTTGTCTTGAACTTCTGACCTCAAGTGATCCTCCTGCCTCTGTCTCCCAAAGTGCTGGGATTACAGGCTTTGAGCCACTGTGCCTGGCCCCATACTTCTTACAACACCAGTCATTGGATTTAGGGCTCACCCTAAAGCCAGGATGATCTCATCTTGAGATCCTTAGCTAATTACATCTGCAAAGACTTATTTTCAAATAAGGTCATATTTTGAAGTTCTACGTAGACATAAATTTTGGAGGCCACACTATCCAACCCACTACAGTTGCCCCAGACAGAGGAACAGTGGACTTTCCCACCCCAAATACAAAGATCCCAGAAATGACCTTGACATCTAATCTAAATGACTCTGTGTTCTCTGTGGTTTGGGTTTTGCAGTCGGACAGCTGAGGGTGGGATGTCATTTTCCTCTTCACAGGCCCCCAGCCTCAAACACCTCCCGTAGTGCTGATTCCTGCCACTGTGTGGAAGGATGGGGGAAAGGACTGGGAGAGGTCTGGGTGGGGAGAGTTAGCACAGCAAGGCCTCCTCCGGGCTCTGCCATTGGTAAGCAGATCATTTCAACTCTTTGGGCTCCTGTTTCTGGGTCAGTAAATGAGAAGGTAGCAGGGGATGGGCCATTTAAAACAAGGGAAAGTTTTGGCCGGGTGCGGTGGCTCACATCTGTAATCCTAGCACTTTGGGAGGCTGAGGTGGGCGGATCACTTGAGGCCAGGAGTTTGAGACCAGGCTGGCCAACATAGGGCAACCCTGTCTCTACTAAAAATACAAAAAATTAGCCGGGAATGGTGGTGCATGCCTGTAATCCCAGCTACTCGGGAGGCTGAGGCAGGAGAATTGCTTGAACCCGGGAGGCGGAGGTTGCAGTGAGCTGAGATCGCGCTACTGCACTCCAGCCTGGGCAACAGAGCAAGACCCTGTCTCAAAAATAAAATAAAATAAAATAAAATAAAATAAAATAAAATAAAATAAAAATAAAATAAAATAAAATAGGGGAAGCTTTTATGGATGTCTGGCATATGTATAGATCCTTTGTGTACAACCAAATGTTCTCAAACTGTAACCCAAACCAGGACCGAGAAACCACAGTCCCAGCACCCAGAGGCCCCTCCCAGGAACTCTTGGCCCCCTTCAAGTGTTTGAAACCACTATCTTGATTTCCAATAGTACAGGTTGACTTTTTTTTTCAATTAAGGTGAAATTCATACAACAGAAAATTTATCATTTTAACGTGAACAATTCAATGACATTTAGTACATTCTTGATGTTCTACAACCACTTGTTCACTTAGTTCCAGAATATTTTTATCCCCCAAAAAGAAACTCATACCGATTAAGCAGTCACTCTCCAATCTCCCTCCCCAGCCCCGGGCAACCAACAATCGACTCTTATCTACGGCTTGCCTGTTCTGGATGTTTCATGTAAATGAAATCCTACACTATGTGGCCTTGGTTTCTGGCTTCCTTCACTCAGCACTGTGTTTTCGAGGTTCATCTTCACTGAAGCACATATCACAGCTCCATTCCTTTTTTATTTGAGACAGAGGACAGTCTTGCTCTGTCATCCAGGCTGGAGTGCAGGCATGATCTCAGCTCACTGCAATCTCCACCTTCTGGGTTCAAGCGATTCTCCTGTCTCAGCCTCCCGAGCAGCTGCGATTACAGGTGCCCACCACCACACCTGGCTAATTTTTGTATTTTTAGTAGAGATGGGATTTCTACTAAAACCGCTGGGTTGGCCAGACTGGTCTCGAACTCCTGACCTCAGGTGATCGGCCCACCTCGGCCTCCTAAAGTGCTGAGATTACAGGCGTGATCCCCTGTACCCGGCCCTCCATGCCTTTTCATGGAAAGGGAGTAATACTCCCTTGTAAGTCTAGGCCACATTTTGTTTATGCATCCATCCATTGATGGCCATATGGATTGCTTCCCCCTTTTGACCACTGAGTAACATTAATTGTCTGTTTTTAGATTTTCTGTAGGTGGAATCCTACAGGATGTGCTCTTCTGGGGCTGGCTTTTACTCAACAGCAGATTTTTGGGGTTGGCTGTGCCATTCTGGGGGAGGTACTGGAGGTCTTGCCTCTATTGCCACCTGCAGGCAGAGAGCACTGGGTGCCCTCAGTCTTCTGTGCTAATGGGATGGGGGCTCTAGTGGGTAAGATTTCAGCTCCCCAAGTAGGTCCAGGTGGGATATCTCATCAGGAGTCCCCCTAAAGCAGGCTCCTGGCTGATGTGACAACATGATGAAGGAAGATGGGGGGAGCCCTGGGGGGACATGTCACACCAGACTGGCCACAGCTCCCCCTGCCCTATACAGAGTGCCTGGCCTCACCCAGGAGCCCAGGCATGTCCCCACATCCCACCTCAAAGTCCCTGTGTCACAGTCCTAATGGCTATTTATTGTCGTTAACTATTCAATTACGGAGCCCAAGCATTTCTTACCTGGTGCTTCAATTAATTGCTTGTAAACACTCAGAAAAGCAGCCTCCGCCTCCTGACTTCTCTTACTAAGGGCCACCACCTTTGGAGACAACAAGAGAAAGAGTCACGTGTAACCATGGCATCTGTGTCTGCAAGCAAATTTCATCATTTTTTTTTTCCACAAGAAAACATCTGCAGGTTTTTTGTTTTGTTTTGTTTTGTTTTGTTTTGTTTTTGAGAGAGAGTCTTGCTCTGTCGCCCAGGCTGGAGTGCCATAGAATGATCTCAGCTCACTGTAACCTCCGCCTCCTGGGTTCAAGTAATTCTTCTGCCTCAGCCTCCTGAGTAGCTGGGATTACAGGTGCCTGCTACCACTACAGGTGCCTGCCACCATGCCCAGCTAATTTTTTTGTACTTTTGGTAGAGACGGTTTGACCACGTTGGCCAGGATGGTCTCAAACTCTTGACCTCAGGTTATCTGCCCACCTTGGCCTCCCAAAGTTCTGGGATTACAGGCATGAGCCACCATGGCTGGCCATGTATTTTTTTTCTTGTTTGTTTAAGCGATGGGGTCTTGCTACAGGTTGCCCAGGCTTGTCTCGACCTCCTGCGATTCCCCTGCCTCGGCCTCCCAAAGTGCCGGGATTACAGGCCACCACCGCACCTGGCCTTAGTCATTTTCTACTTGTGCAAACATGGGATAGGGGAGGGGCAAGAAGGAGAAATGAAGGTTAAAAGTGTGGGCTCTGGAGTTAGAAAATCTGGGTTGAAAGCCCAGCTCCACTGTGTGCAGGCTGTGTGACCTTGCACTGCCCCTCTCTGATTCTCAGTTTCTTCATCTGTAAAATGCGGGGTAAATAACAGGACCTACCTCCTGTTGGGATTAAATGGAGCCGCACCTAAGTGCTAAGCACAGGGCCCGGCACACGGTGTGTTGGTGACACCTGTTATTCTTCTTATTAGTAAAGGGTAGACTGGAAGTTCAAATATGATACATGTTTTAGGAGGAAAGTGGGACACGTCTAGAGAATATTTCTTGCCACTAAAAATGAAAGAGAAATTGTTAAAGCTCTCGTAAGATATCAAACAACTTTAACAAATGTTGGAGGGTAACAGAATTACCCTCTTTAAAAGAGGTGGAAATGTATTGGTGATTAAAGTGATTAAAAAAGGTTAGTTTTAGGCTGGGAGTGCTGACTCATGCCTTTAATCCCAGTGCTTTGGGAGGCTGAGGCGGGAGGATTGTTTGAGCTCAGGAGTTCGAAACCAGCCTGAGCAACATAGTGAGACCCTGTTTCTACAAAAGATAAAAAAATTAGCCAGGCAGGGTGGCTCGTGCCTGTTGTCCCAGCTACTCAGGAGGCTGAGGTAAGAGGATTGTTTGAGGCCAGGATTTCGAGGCTGCCATGAGCTATGATTGCACCACTGCACTTCAGCCTGGGCAATAGAGTGAGACCCTATCTTAAAAAAAAAAAAAAAAAGATCCATTACAAAATCTCTGTAATTTCTCTCATTGTTAGTCTGAGAAAGTCCCTGGTCTCTCACCTTCCAGCATGGATGACAGTCTCTCATTCCCTCAACAAATGTTTCCTGAGCACCTGCTATGCACCAAGCACTGTGGGCTGAGAACCCAGCCATGAATAAGGCAGACTCATGTCCCACCCTTATGGGACTTACAGTCCGGTGGGGACACTGGCATTAAGGCAGCTTCCCCAGATGACTCATTAATTACAAGTGCTAAACGCTTGGCAGAAAAGCACAGGGTGGCCTTGGGAGTGTGTAAATTGGGGGGAGGCTGACCCAGTTTGGTAACAGAACATCAGGAATTATCTCCCTGAGAAGGGGAAGTCACTTGGGGGAGGGCAGAAAAAAAGTTCTAGAAGCTAGACAAAGGGAAAATCACCAAGCTGTAGGTAGGTCTTTTTTAAATTTAAATTTTATTTATTTATTTATTTAGAGACAGAGTCTTTCTCTGTTGCCCAGGCTGCAGTGCAGTGGCACAATCTTGGCTCACTGTAACCTCTGCCTTCTGGGTTCCAGCAATTCTCCTCAGCCTCAGCCTACCAAGTAGCTGAGATTACAGGCACCCGCCACCATACCTGGCTAATTTTTTTGTATTTTTAGTAGACATGAGGTTTCGCCATGTTGGCCAGGCTGGTCTCGAACTCCTCACCTCAAGTGATCTGCCCACCTCGGCCTCCCACAGTGCTGGGATTACAGGCATGAGCCACTGCGCCTGGCCCTGTGGGTAGATTTTTGTCCTTGCTTAGATGGACAAGAGTGAGTTTCTGGGGACATGCAATTGAGTGGGAGACACAGCTATGGCCAGTAGGAAGCGTAACCACTGCACACCAGCCTGGGCAATAGAATGAGACCCTATCTTTACAAACAAAACAAATGCACAGGAGGAGGTGCAAACACTGGTGGCTCCTGTGAGCCCTGAGGAGGGGGCAATTCATTCAGAATCTTGGGGCGGGGGCGGGGGGCATCCCTGATGGGCTAATAAAAACAAATGGCATCGACCGTTTACTGTGTGCCAGAAGCTTTTACTATTCATGAGAGTCTGTCTCCACGGACACATCAATCACCGAATGGCTGCTGCCACCTGCCCCATCATACAGATTAGAAAACGGAGGCTCAAGGACGTCAAGCCACTTGCCCAAGGTCACCCGGTTAGCAAATGGCAGGGCCAAGATTCACACCAGGTCTGGGGATTCAAATTGCCACTCTGAATTCAAATGCTGCCTTCCTTTTGTCCTGGATAGAAAAATTACCCCAGCCAGTGGGGCCGGGTGTTCAGAGCCCATGAGGATGCCGCTGCCTTACAAGCCAACTACAGCTGCCCTGGGCGAGAGGCTGCGGTGCTGGTGACTTGGCACCCAAGAAAACAATGAGAAACAAAAGCAATTCATCTCATGGGTCTTAGAAGGAGAATTATCAAAGACCAGCCAGAAGAATGACTCAATGTTCCATTTTACGGTTGCCTGAGCTGAGTGCATGTGGTGGCTGGGGTCTGAGGAAAGGCACTGGCCTCCAATGAGAGACTGAGCAAGGGTGGGGACAAGTGCTGGAAGATTCCTTTAATGTTTCCCTGTCCCTGCCTAGAGCACCCCCTACTTTCCCTTCATGGCACTTATCAGTGTATAATGGTCCATGATTTATCTCTTCCAGTGGGGAAGACTAAATCTAACATTATAAGGAGGATGACAGTTTTGGTCTTAAGTTTTCCCCACTGGAGCGGAGCTGTTCAATAAGGCAGCCACCGGTCCATGTGCTACTGAGCACTTGAAATGCAACGATTTCAAACTGAGATGGGTTGTAAGTGTAAAATATAGCATTTCTAAGTCTAAGAAAGAAAAAGGAATGTAAAATACCCCAATACTTTTTTTTTTTTCCTGAGACAGAGTCTCGCTCTGTAGCCCAGGCTGGAGTGCAGTGGCACGATCTTGGCTCACTGCAAGCTCCACCTTCTGGGTTCACGCCATCCTCCTGCCTCAGCCTCCCGAGTAGCTGGGATTACAGGCGCCCGCCACCATGCCTGGCTAATTTTTTGTATTTTCAGTAGAGACGGGGTTTCACCGTGTTAGCCAGGATGGTCTCGAGCTCCTGACCTCATGATCTGCCCGCCTCGGCCTCCCAAAGTGCTGGGATTACAGGTGTGAGCCACCGCGCCCGGCAATAATTAAAAAAAAATTTTTTTTGGACAGTCTCGCTGTATTGCCTAGGCTGGAGTGCAGTGGTGTGATCTCGGCTCACTGCAACCTCTGCCTCCCAGGTTCAAGCAATTCTCCTGCCTCAGCCTCCTGAGTAGCTGGGATTACAGGTGCCCACCACCACGCCTGGCTAATTTTTTTGTATTTTAGTAGAGACAGGGTTTTACCATGTTGCCCAGGCCAGTCTCAAACTCCTGAGCTCGGGCAATCCACCCGCCTCGGCCTCCCAAAGCCAATAATTTTTATATTGATTACATTTTGAAATGCTAGTGTTATGAACATATCAGGCTAAATAAAATATATTATTAAAATTAAATTCACCCACTTCTTAATTTCTTTTTTTTTTTTTTTTTTGAGACAGAGTCTCACTTTGTCACCCAGGCTGGAGTGCAGAGTAGCTGCAATTACAGATGTGCACCACACACCTGGCTAATCTTTGTATTTTTAGTAGAGACGGGGTTTCAACATATTGCTCAAGCTGGTCTTGAACTCCTGATCTCAAGTGATTTGCCTGCCTCAGCCTCCCAAAGTGATGGGAATACAGGTGTGAGGCACTGCGTCCAGCTACACTTCTTACTTTTTAAATTGTAACTACTAGAAATTTTAAATTACAAATGTGGCTTGTGTTCTTTTCCTGCTGGACACTGTTGATCTCATGGATCAATGGTTGGCAATCTTTGGTCCTTGGTGTGAATCTGGCCCTTCATCTGTTTGTGTAAATAAAGTTTTATTGGAACAAAGGCATGGTCACTGTTTTACGTGTCTATGGCTGCTTTTATGTTACAAGGACAGAGTTGTGTAGTTGTGAAAGAGACTTTGTGGCCCGCGAGACTAAAAATATTTTCTATCTGGCCCCTTACAGAAAAAAGTTAGCTGATCCTTGCTTTAGGGGTTCATCTAACAGCTGGATAATATTTTTAAAAACAGAGATAAGAAATTATCCTGAGGCCAGGTACAGTGGCTCACACCTATAATCTCAGCACTTGGGAGGCCAAGGTGGGAGGATCACTTGAGTCCAGGAGTTTAAGACCAGCCTGGCAACATAGCAAGACCCTATCTCCACACACACACACAAACACACACACACACACACACACACACACACACACACACACAGCTGGGTGTGGTGGTCTACACCTGTGGTCCCAGCTACTTGGGAGGCTGAGAAAGGGGGATCACTTGAGTCTGGGAGGTTTAGGCTGCAATGCACTCTAAGTGCACTTGTGTCACTGCACTCTAGCCTGGACAACAGAAAAAGACCCTGTTTCAAAAAAAGAAAAATAATCCTGAAAAAATTAGTCAGGTGTGGTGGTGCACCCCTGCAGTCCTAGCTACTCAGGAGGCTGAAGTAGGAGACTCGCTTGAGCCCAGGAGTTCGAGGCTGCAGTGAGCTGTGATCACACCACTGCACATCAGCCTGAGCAATAGAATGAGACTCTATCTTTACAATCAAAAGAAATCCTGGACTGGCACTCAGTGTGAATCAGTTCATGTTTAGGGCTTCCCAAAGTCAACGGACTTTCAAAGACAGGAGCCGTGTAGATTTCCTGCCTCATTCAGTCTCGTTTCAAGGCAATGACTGGCTGTCTGTGGAAGGCCAGGTCCCTAAATTCCTCTTTTTTTTTTTTTTTTTTTGAGATGGAGTCTTGCTCTGTCGCCCAGGTTGGAGTGCAGTGGCGCAATCTCAGCTCACTGCAACCTCCACCTCCCAGGTTCAAGTGATTCTCCTGCCTCAGCCTCTTGAGTAGCTGGAATTACAGGCATGCACTACCACGCCTGGCTAATTTTTATACTTTTAGTAGAGACGGGGTTTCACCATGTTGGCCAGTCTGGTCTCAAACTTCTGACATCAGGTGATCCGCCCGCCTTGGCCTCCCAAGGTGCTGGGATTACACGCGTGAGCCACCGCGGTCCTTAAATTCCTGATGGCATCAGAGCCTGACCTGGTACTGGGCCTAATGTCACTATGAGCATCTCTTGGCCCCAGTTTGTCCGTGCATCAAGTGGGAAGAATAACCTCTACCTGCCTACAAAGCTGTTGGGGCAGGATGAGCTAACATGCAGCAAAGAGTCCCATGGAAGCTGATGAAAGCTTTCAAATAAATCAGAAAATTCTTCTTCTAATCACATAGGATATCTTTTCCAAGGGCTGAAACTCAATGCATTTCACCCACATGCTGAGAACAAGTGAGCTTGGCATAAAAGGCCATGTTCAATAAAAGGCTGTGTGTTTCTGTCTCATGGCTCTGCCCAACCACACAGAAGGGCAGCAGCAAAGTGCCCAGAATGACAGATTTGCCCTATGACAGGAACACCCTTGAAGGCCATGTGGAAAGGAGGAGAAAAAGACAGGAAGAGGAGGAGGAGGATGGAGGAAGGGGAGAAAGAGGGAGGAAGAGGAGAAGAAAGAGGAGGAAGAGGAAGAGGAGGAAGATGGAGAATGAGGAGGAAGGGGAAGGAGGAGGGAGGAAGAGGGGGGAAGAGGGAGGAGGAGGAAGGAGGAGGAAGAGGGAGGAGGAAGAGCAGGGAGGAGGAAGAGTGAGGAGGAGAAGGAGGAGGGAGAGGAAAGAGGAGGAGGAGGAAGAGTGAAGGGGAGGAGGAGGAAGAGGAAAGAGGAGGAGAAGGAGGGAGGAGGAAGAAGAGGGAGGGGGAGGAAGAAGTGGGAGGGGGAGGAAGAAGTGGGAGGGGGAGGAAGAAGTGGGAGGGGGAGGAAGAAGTGGGAGGGGGAGGAAGAAGTGGGAGGGGGAGGAAGAAGTGGGAGGGGGAGGAAGAAGTGGGAGGAGGAGGAGGAAGCGGAGGAGGAAGAGGAGGAAGGGGAGGAAGAGGGAGGAGGAGGAAGAAGTGGGAGGAAGAGGGAGGAGGAGGAGGAAGAGGAAAAGGGAGGAGGAGGGGGAAAAGGGAAGGGGAGGAAGAAGTGGGAGGGGGAGGAAGGAGAGGGAGGAGGAGGGAAGAGGGAGGAGGTGGAGACCATCCACAGACACCCTCAAGAAGGTCACTGTCAGGAATAGCTCAGCATCTGTGGAAGCACATGGCATTTACGCAGCCCACTGTGATACGAGGGGTGACAATGTGTTTAGTCCCCCGAGGATGAACGCAGCAGGTGTAGAACTGCTTCTGCCAGGGGCGAGTCAAGCCTGTTCTAGCCACATAGCTCTTTTCAGCCAGGTGGTTAAAAACAGAAAATTTGGGCCCCCTCCCCTAGGCTGAGCTCCACCAAGCTGTCTGAGGTCGCAGGGACATCTGGGAGCCACTGAGAACCACTCTGTGCCAAGTTCTAAGCCTTACTATGTGCTCCAGGCATCTTCTTTGAAATCCCCGCCTTCCCCCAAGCACACCTTTAGGATGTGAGCATTGTGACCGGCCCTGTTCTACAGAGGAAGAAAGAAACTAAGGGGCAGGGATGTTAAGTCACTTGGCTAAGATGAGAGCACTAGTTAGTGGCAGAGGTGGTATCGGTGCCCAGGTGCCTCTCACTCCAGGGCCCAGACTTGCAGCTGCAAACTGTGCTTCTCCAAGTGCTGTGGGCATGAAAAGGGGGACCTGCCATCGAGACTGCACAACTCCTTCCCTGGGTTCCGTGGAACATACTTTGAGAGCAGCCTCCCTCTACCACTGGGTCCTGGGCTCTGGAGAGGGTAGGGTGATTCTGAGAGATGATGGGGGGTGGACGTCTGATGTGGCAGGAATTCCAGAAGAAGCTGAAGACTGGTGGACAAGCGAGAGGAGGCAGGTGCTTGGAGGGTCTCAGAATGAACTCGGGCAATGGAAAGGCAACCCAGAGATCGGGGAATGAAGGAATGAGCTGGGTTCAGAGGGGAAGGGGTGTCCCTTGATGGCCTCTGAAGGCTGGTTGTTCCTTTAGGGCATGCAGATCAGGGGGCCACACAGAAGGCAAAGAGAGGCAAGAGTACGAGGGGGGCTCAGAGAAGAAAGGAGGGCCATGGAGAGCTAGGGGGGCTGTGGTGGGAGATAGGTTTGGTGCGGTGGGTAGGGGCCGATGGGCCGTGGAGAGGAGCGATGAGAACCCCTGGAAGCCATGAAGCAGGGCCGAGACTTGCTCAGATGTACCAGAGGGGGAGGGGCTCCTGTTGACCACTCAGGGGTGCTTTGGGGTCTGGGTGGGAGGTACTGAGCTCCCCACCAGGGGAGGCATCCAAGTACATGCCCCTGTATCTGTGAGGCTGTAAAGGTACTCAGGGAGACCCACATGTGGGGAGGTCTGGCTAGACTATCCTGAGGGTTCCCACTCACTCTGACAGTCCCTGTGAAAGATCCCTTTTCTTTACAGCACCCTTCTGATTTCCTACCACCCGGAAAATGGGGGTAACAGCTACTTCGATTGGCTGATTTGTGCATTATTATTGATGATAACAGTGACTACTGAGCACTGACTCTGTGCCAGGCACTGTGCTATGTACTGGATGCACATTAGCTTAACCCTCATCACGCTGCGGGTGTGACTATCCCATTTAACAGATGAAGATGTCGAGGCACAGAGGGTGATGGCCACATGGTGCTGGGAGCTGAGACTCAGAGGCAGCTTAGTCTGACAGCAAAGCCCATGCTTCTCAGCCTCCACTCAGAATCGATTCTTTGGTTGGGGGCTGGTGGAAGCACCTGGAATAACCAAAAGAGCTGGAGGAGCCAGGCCGGCAGGTAGGTGGGGGACGGGAGGCCAGGAGGAGCTGCAGGACTCAACCCTGCCTGCCTCCAGGTGTGTCTGCTGGGGCCCCCGTTCCCTGGCGAGTGCTAACGTGCTCTCTGCCATCCATCAGTGATGCCGCTGAGCAAATGAAAATTACATTTTAATGTCAGGGATTAAATAAGAAATAAGTTTGACTTTTGTTTTTGATAGCTACTGTTGTCAAACTGGGTTCTCAGTCTCCTGCTAAAATGGGGCAGAAATTGGAGACCCTCTCTGGCCCTCTGGAGGGTCACCCAGGGGTCCCAGAGAGGCCCCATCCTAGCCTGTTTCAGGAGCCAGCACTAGCTGGTTCTAAAGACTGATTAAGGTTGGGTGCGGTGGCTCACGCCTGTAATCCCAGCACTTTGGGAGGCCGAGGCGGAGGGATCATCTGTGGTCAGGAGTTCGAGACCAGCCTGGCCAACATGTGAAACCCCGTCTCTATTAAAAATACAAATATTAGGAGAGTACCTGTAATCTCAGCTACTCAGGAGGCTAAGGCAGTAGAATCTCTTGAACCCGGGAGGCAGAGGTCGCAGTGAGCCAAGATCGTGCCACTGCACTCCAGCCTGGGTGACAGCGCAAGGCTCCGTCTCAAAAAGGAAAAAAAAAGACTGCTTGGCTGGAACAGAATTAACGCATTTGGCCACCTGTCATTGTCATTGTTTTGCCTTCTCAGATGTAAATCACTAATTCATTTTGAATTCCCAAGTGTAAGTCACTAATTCATTTTGAATCCTTAGGGGTAAGTCACTAATTCATTTTGAACCCTCAGGTGTAAGTCATTAATTCCTTTTGAACTTTCAGGTATAAGTCACGAATTCATTTTTGGACCCTCAAGTGTCAGTCATTAAATCGTTTTGAGCATTCAGGTGTAAGTCACTCAGTTTGAATTCACAGGTGTAAGTCACTAATTCATTCTGAACTCACAGGTGGAAGTCATTAATTCATTTTGAACCCTCATGTGTAAGTCAGTGATTCAGAGCTTGAGCTCTGAGGCCCCCTCTCCTCAGATGTGCAGGTCCAGCTTCCAGATTCTGCCCTCTATGCCTCAACCTGCAATGATGATGGGCACGGGGTGCACAGCAACTCTGCAACAGCAGCAGATGGTGCATACTGAGCACCTACTATGTGCATGCCCAGGGAATCAAGCCAGCCCTCCCCCAGTGCCTAAATACATAGTGATCCTTAGGGATGTCTGGAGAAGCACCAGGCACCCTGATTTGTGTTTGTGTTTTAGTGAAAGGAGGTGTTTGTGCTTGGTCTGGATTCTGAGCATCCCTACCTCTGAACACAGGGCACCCACGCATCCGTCAGCATCTGCTGACATCAGGGCTGCAGGAATGCTAGCTTCTATCCAAACACTGCTCCATTTCCTCAACTAGCCAGTGGGCATCCCAAGGGTAGAGACTAACATTTAAAAAAATTGAATATGGCTGGGCATGGTGGCTCACACCTGCAATCCCAGTACCTTGGGAGGCTGAGGCTGGTGGATCGCCTGAGGTCAGGAGTTCGAGACCAGCCTGGCCAACATAGTGAAACTCCGTTTCTACTAAACAAAAACAAAACAAAACAAAAATGGCAAAAACCACAACTACTTTTGAGGAAACAGAGTGAGACTCCATCTCAAAAAAAAAAAAAAGGCTGTTTCTAAAAAAACAGTATTTTATAAATGAAATAAAAATAAAATCATACATGCAAAGCATTAAGACGGTGCTTGACCCATCACAGATGCCTAATACATTTATTTGCTTAACAGATATTAATCAGGCATCTCCTAGGGATGGGGCTGTTCTAGGTACTGGGCATTCAGCACCAAGCAAGACTGGCGCAAACACCTACCTCTGTGGAGCTGACATGTTTAGAGGCAGAGGCGAGCAATGAAATAAATCATGAAAGAGAATGTGGGACAGTCGTCAAGTGCAGGGGAGGAGAATGGAGTAGGGAGGTGACAGGAGTCCTGGGCAGGGCATGTGGGGCCACAGGAGGGGAAGGCGTCGTGGGGAGCTTTGGGAAAGAGTATTGCAGACAGCGAGAACGGCAGGTGCAAAGGCCCTGGGGCAGGGGCTGTCTGGCTTGTTTGAATGCCAGCAGAGAGGCTGGTGTGGCGGGAGATGGTAGACGAAGGGGAAGAAGAAAGGGGGTCGGGAGGTGAGTCGGGGGGAAGAGCCCTGGGGGTCACTGCGAGGGCCCAGTCTTTTTCTCCAAGGGGTCTGAGGAGCCACGGGAGGGTTTTGTGCAGAGGAGAGCAGATTCATGTGATCTGACACGCGTTTTAACAGGACCCATCTGGCTGTTGTGCGGAGAAGGGACTGAGGGTCTGGGGTGGAAACAGGGAGACCAGGGAAGTGGCTCCTGCCGAGTTCCAGGAGAACAACCCAGGCGGCTCAGAGCAGGATGGTGGCAGTGGTGCTAGGATTCTGGGATTGTGAAGGTCGAGCCACAGGATTTGCTCCTTGGGAACACAGAGTGGATGTTGGAGGCATAAAAGCAACAGAGGGGCCACGGATGACTCCACAGCTTGGGGCTTTAACAACTGGATAATCATTCATTCATTCATTCATTTAGAGATGGGGGTCTCCCTATGTTGCCCACACTGGTCTGGAACTCCTGGGCTCATGTGATCCTCCTGCCTCAGTCTCCCAAATTGCTGGGATTACAGGTGTGAGCCACTACGCCTGGCCTACTAGATGATCTTCAATGGCTCCTGCTATGACATTAACATTTTTCTCCCTCAGAGCCCAGGCGGGGCTGGGCACAGAGTGGGCAATAAACCAACACTGACTGAATGAACAAACCATGAATAATATAAGGAAGGAACTTAAGAGCCTCCCTGAGCTAATCCTGCCAAGCTGCCAAACTTACCTAAAACCCCGAGGCTTCCCAGAGAACAGTGGAGAATGATGCCCTCCTAGTAGCTCAAACTCAGCTGAGGTCCTGACTGCTCTGTGGAGACCTCTTGCAAGCTCCCTGGTAGGGAGGGGACAGAGGCCCAGGATGTGCCCCAGAAGTCCCAGCACTTGTCTTGAGGAAGCAAATAGCAGGGTAGGAAAGAGGAGAAACTAGCCTGGGGGTGAGGAGACCTGGGTTCTGGTTTTAACTGGGGCCTGCATCCCCATTCACCTTGGGCAGTCATTTTCCCTTTCAGAGCCTCAGTTTCCCCATCTGTAAAGTGAAGGTGCTGGGCTATGGGCCGAAGGCTCCTTCAAACTCAGTTGTGCATTGATTCTAGATTCTAATTCACCAAGGCAGATATAATATACATATCTTTTAGAGATGGGGTCTCACTCTGTCACCCAGGCTGGAGTGCAGTGGTGTGGTGCCATCATAGCTCACTGTGGCCTCAAACTCCTGGGCTCAAGCGATCTTCCTGCCTCAGCCTCACAAGTAGTTGGGACTACAGGCACACGCCACCATGCCTGGCTAATATTTTCGTTTTCTTTTTTTGTAGAGGTGGGGTCTTGCTATGTTGCCCAGGCTGGTCTTGAACTCTTAGCCTCAAGTGATCCTCCTGCCTTGACCTCCTAAAGCGCCGGGATTACACGTGTGAGCCTTGTAATCCTGGCCCATACAGACAGATAGAGAGACAGAGAGACAGACAGATATTGTCTTGTCCTCACATGAACATCCCCTGCACCCCTCTGGACCACCGCTGGGATTTTAATGAGGCCAGTGCAAGACCTAGGAAGCCCACCTACCCACCCAGGCTCTGGCTGAGGGGAGGGTCTGCAGGAAGAGGAACACCATGCAATTTTATTCTAATATTTGTAATTATTCCCAGGGTAAAAATAAGGCACAGAGCAAAGTGTTTTCAAATGTCGGCATTAAGAACACTTTTGATCCAACATAATACAATCCCCCAAATGCATTTATGTCAGGCTCCCGGAGATACCGCGAGTGGTGTTCCGTGCCAGGCTGGCTTTCACGGCTTGGAAGCAGTGCAAAAATGAAATGTCCCACAAGCAATGGCTGGCAGGCCTGCTATTAGCAACAGTGTAATCATCAATTATGTCCAATCACAAACTGCTGATTTTATAATTATCAAATGAAGTTCTAACTTCTCACCTCCGCTCGGTGGCAACTAATATAATCGCTCAGTTCCAAAAGGAAGCTTTTTTCCCTTTTCCTTTTCCTCTCGTTCTCTCTCTTCTGGGGGAAAAACAATTTCCAGGCCTCCACGTAAGACTGCATTTAAATTGCTTGTCACTCAAAACAAAGGGGAATCACTCATTTGTAATTCACCAGCTACCTGAACAGACTGCCTGTTTTCCTCGAAGCATCCATGCACCGAAGCACAAAGATCATTTTTCTATTGTTAAAATTGTATAAGCCAGGGCTTTTTTTAGCAGTAAATCCACAATTTCTCTTCTCTTCCGAGGGCTCCTGGCATAAAAGGGACAGGAGGCTTTCTTTAGCGCCTTGCAAATAAATTTCGCTTTTGGGTATTAAAAAAAATACACTATACGCTCATATAATGAGCCGAAAGCTGCAGTATCAATTCTTTGTATGGTCATATATGGAGATGAGACCAGGGCAGAAGTTATGTTTCCTGCCCTGCCTGGGGTGTGGCCAGTACATGAAGCTGGGAATCCAGATCCACTTTCATGGGCTCTGGGAAGCATCTATGTCCAGTTTTCTCTTTTTGGGAGCTGCTGATGCCACAAGCATGGCCCCACGCTGCTTGGCATGTGGCTGGCAGGTCATGCACGCAGGAACAACCTAGAGTGGGTGCTCCGGCTCTGACCTTGCCATTCCAGCCAGAAGCAGTTTCCAGCTGTGTGTCTTTTGGGCCACCTCCTCCCAGAGGAACAAACCACAGACAATTGCCACCAGCCCCCTGTGTGCAACTGATGAGGATGTCTTCCCAAGGCTCAGCCTCCGAAGGCCAGGCTCGTTTTGCCAACAGTTCAGTTTTTCTGCCTAACTGATTATAATCATAATACCTTCCAATTTTAATCTAGAGCTTTTTATAGCTTACAAAGACCTTTCACGGGAATTAGCGCATCTGAGCCTCCAAACGCTCCCAGGGGCAGCCCTGGGTCCTCTTGTTTTAGAGGCCCAGAGAGGCTGAGAAGGCGGCTCCAATATACACACACGAGGGGCCAAGGCAGGGTGTGAATTGGGGGGCGGGGGGCTGTCTTTGGACTCAGAGCCAGTTGTGTGGTAAGGAATTTGGGGCTGGAATCTGTGTGACACCCCCACCCCCACACCTGAAGTGGGCAAGTGGCTTCCATTTTGGGTAATTCAGAACAAACTCAGGTTCACCCCTAAAATGTCCCTTCTGTCACCTGAATGTGCTGTGATTCCCTGAGTGGAAGGGAAAGGGGGTGGGCTCCCACCAGGAGCTCTTTGTCAGCCACTTTGGCCTTTTTTTTTGTAGCAGCCATGAGAACTAAGAAATATTCCCGATGGCAGTGACACCGTCCTATGTGACACTGTGATGGTGGGTACATGACATCATGCATTTGTCAAAGCCCCTAGAACTTTGCAACACAAAGAGTGGCCCCTCACGTAAAGTATGGACTATAGTGAATAATTGTGTCTTGACACTGGTTCATCACGGTAACAAATGCACCACACGCTAATGTGAGATGTTAGTCATCGGGGAATTGGGGTGGGGGAAGAGGGAGTCTATGGTAACTCCCTATACTTTCTGCTCAAATTCTCTCTAAGCCCAAATAAAACTGCTCTAAAAAATAGGGTCTAGGCTGGGCGTAGTGACTCATGCCAGTAATCCCAGCACTTTGGAAGGCTCAAGGCAGGCTGATCACCTGAGGTCAGGAGTTTGAGACCAGCCTGGCCAACATGGTGAAACCCTGTCTCTACTAAAAATACAAAAATTAGCTGGGCATGGTGTCGCGTGCCTGTGATCCCAGCTACTCAGGAGGCTGAGGCAGGAGAATCACCTGAACCTGGGAGGCAGAGGTTGCAGTGAGCCGAGATTATGCCACTGCACTCCTGCCTGGGCAATAGAGTGAGACTCTGTCTCCAACCCCACTAAAAAAAAAAAAAAAAAAACAAAAAAAGGGTCTATTAATTTAAAAAAAAAAAAAAAAAAAAAAAGGCAATAGCACCCGGGACTTTTTCTCAGTGCTTATCATGTCAGTTCAGTGAATCTGTGCAAGAGCCCTGGGGTCCGTATCCTTCTCTTCCTCATTTCACAGATGGGGAAAATGAGCCTTCAGAGAGGTGGGGAAACGTGTGCAAAGTCACACAGCAAGTGGCAGAGCTCGGATTTCCAGCCCGGGCTCCAGAGCCTGTTCTCTGCGCTGTGTGAGTAAAGGGATGATGCATGATCACTGGGCTCTTGCCAAAGCCTGCCCCTCCCCATGGGATACTGCCATGTGTGCTCCCTGCACATGTGTGTCCCACCTCGTTCACGGGGGTCACACGACACACGAGACTGGGGGCCATGGATGGTGGGTCCACGGCCAGATGCACCCCATGGACAACATATTTTCTTGGACCCTCCAGTGTTTTAAAAATATTTGAGCTGTCAAAATTCATCAAGTTATACACTTAAGATTTGCGCATTTTACTGTATGTAAATTATACCTCCATAAAGTCCTGTGAGCATGAAAATATGTGCATATATATTGAGCCAGTATTTAAAAACCAGAAGAGTTCCAAATTGCTGGCTTCTCTTGGGAAATTAGAGGATCTGGCCACCCTGGGCCCATGTTTCCATCGACAGCGGCCACCTGGAGCTGGGTGTCAGCCGTCTGTTGGGACAGGCTGAGGGTCTGCATTTGGCTCCCCGTATGGGTGTGAGCCCGTCCAGGCCCCATGAGCATTAGCGTTTCTCTGTGGCCTAGACCGACACCCCCTTTATCCTGGCTTCACCCCCCTCCTTGAAATTTCTCAAAGCCCACCAGCCCCTCCCCCACCCTGAAGGAGTGATTGCATAGCCGGGTGACAGACAGACAATGCTGCAACAGGAGGGCTGGTCCTTGTCCTACTTCTGCTTCCAGGCAGCATCCACCTCCTCCCCCTATGGCTGGCAAACTGCCAGCCGAACCTCCATGTGAGTCCTGCACACAGAAGAGGCCCTTCTGACTCAGTTCCAACCTGGGCTTGGAGAAAAAGGCCATTTGCGGTGCCTGCAGGAACGTGAGACTTCCTGGGTGGTGAGGCATGCCTAGGTGGAGAAAGAACTAGCAGCTTTCCTGGAACACTCTGTGCCTCAGTGTCCCCACCTAGAGAGCAGGGACATCGGGACCCAGCTGGGGTGTGAAGACACCAGCAGTTAAAAGATATGCTTTGGGCCAGACGCAGTGGCTCACGCCTATAATCCCGGCACTCTGGGAGGCCAAGGTGGGTGGATCACCTGAGGTCAGGAGTTCAAGACCAGCCTGGCCAACATGGTGAAACCCTGTCTCTACTAAAAATATGGAAAAAAAATTAGCCAGGCGTGGTGGCGGGCACCTGTACTTCGGTTGCTGAGGCAGGAGAATCAC